>NW_003315956.1:0-289831 GCF_000001405.40 Homo sapiens
TGTTTTTTGGACCAGTCTGAAAATCATTCTATTATAATGACTATTAAATTCATTTACTGACATTGATATAATATTCAAATGAACTCAAAATTGGCTAAAAAAAAATCAGGGCTTAAGGTATCTACAGATGCCTAGACTCAGTGTGGATTAGGTAGGGCAGGGCTGGGGTGGGGAGAGAGCAGAGGGGTGTAGCAGAGGGCTAGGTCCCATTGAGTTAGAACTGGGAAGTGACTAAGCCATATCACAATGGTCTAAAACAGTATGAAAAACAGACTGTGGCCCTCTAATCTTTCTGGCATTTTGTGATTGCGGGAGGCAGGGACTGGGTCAAGACTGGACCTTGGGCAAGAATCAAAGCAGGTACTCACTCTCCAAATGGACACAGGGGCTGAGAGCAGGAACCAAGCCTAGAAGTCATTCAAGTGCAGGTGAATTGAATAAGGAGCAGGGAGGAGCCAGGATGGGTGACGGTGGTACTGACAACCACTTTGGCCCAGGGGAGAGTGGACTTGAGAATCAGCAAAAACAGCAGCCAGTGGGAGGGATATATTTAGAGCCCAGGCCATTCTATGCAGCATCCCTAGTCTGGAAAGAACTCAGACTCTGAATGCAAAGGAACTATTGTAGGTCTCTCATGAGGTTAATGTCCATTCAGGCACAAATTCAGGCAGAATTTGCTGAAACATGCCAGAAAAATAAGACCAAGGGATTCAATATCTATCTTATGTTTTCAATGACACTGAAATATTCTGTGGCTATTGCAATATCTTAAGTCATAGTTTTTAGAGGTATATTTTACAGTTCATGCCTTCAAGAACAAAGTGTTACAGCTTGAGTTTGATTCTAGGCTCTACTAATACTAGCTGCTTTACATTGCAGAGTGTAGTTAATCTTTCTGAGAACTTTTTCTCATCTATAAAAATGGGCAAAATTAACATCCTCCTAGAAAGACATCTGAGAGAATAATATGAATTAGGTCCAGAATGGGAACTCTCCAAATAGTGCCATGCGGTAAAAGATTAACTCAGCAGGCCTTGGTTGTTCAAACCTTCACATGAAAAAAAAATCTGATATTTGACTGGCTCTTGGGAGATAACCTTAAAGTGCTCAGAATTACTTGCCTAATAAGAATGTTCAGCTGGGCACAGTGGCTCACATCTGTAATCCCAGCACTTTGGTAGGCCAAGGTGGGTGGATCACCTGAGGTCAGGAGTTCAAGACCAGCCTGGCCAAGATGGGTAAACCCTGTCTCTACTAAAAATACAAAAATTAGCCAGGTGTGGTGGCGGGTGCCTGTAATCCCACTTACTCAGGAGGTTGAGGCAGGAGAATTGCTTGAACTCAGGAGGTGGAGGCTGCAGTGAGCCCAGATCACGCCATTGCACTCCAGCCTGGATGACAGAGCAAGACTCTGTCTCAAAAAGAAAAAAAGAATGTTTATATTTACCTAGGATCTTGGTCCACACCAGATAGTTTATGATAGCAATGTGATTTGTGGTGGGGACCTTGGGCCACAGGGTATCAATATGAACTCTGGAGAGGCCGGAGACTGAGTAACCAAGGTCAGCAATGGCACCCTCCATACTCATGTAACCAATCCCCTAATAAAAACCCTGGACACCAAAGCTTGGATGAGCTTCCCTGGTTTGCAATACTTCATTCATGTTATCACAACACTGTTTCTGGGATAATTAAGTGCTGTTTATATGACTCCTCTAGGAGAGGAGAACTGGAAGCATGGTCTTTCCTGTACTATAGCCTATGAGCCTTTTTGCTCATTCAATCTGTATTCTTTTGCTGTAACAAACTAATTGGGAGCTTAGCAGTGTTTTTGTATTCTGTGTGTTCTTCTAGTGAGTCATTGAACCTGAGGATGGTCTTAGGACACCTGACACAAATATCCTTTTTCCTCATATATTATACTTTCAAGCTGATGTCTCTGAAATGTTTAAAGACTGCCAAATGTCATGAACCAGTCATTTAATATCATTGATGAGGAGGACTTGTTTAGTAGCTTTAATTCTAATCTGCTCCCTCCCTACTACAGCTTCCCCGTCCCTAACAGCCACATTTCTTTTTTTTTTTCTAGATAGAGTCTCACTTTTGTCACCCAGGCTGGAGTGCAGTGATGCAATCTCAGCTCACTACAACCTCCGCCTCCCAGGTTCAAGTGATTCTCCTGCCTCAGCCTCCTGAGTAGCTGGGATTAGAGGTGCCCACCACCACACCCAGCTAATTTGTATATTTTTAGTGGAGATGGGGTTTCACCATGTTGGCCAGGCTAGTCTCGAACTCCTGACCTCAGGTGATCTGTCCACCTTAGCCTCCCAAAGTGCTGGCATTACAGGTGTGAGCCACCGCACCTGGCCCACATTTCTTATCACACTCAGGTTCCTAGAGAGGAACAAGTGCACCAGTTTTCTAATCTGACTTCTTCCTTTCCCACTTACGCCCTCTGAAAAAACCAAAAAGAATTAAATAGGCTTGCTTCTCTGGTTTGGTGGTAGATTCTTCTACTTTTTATTCCTACCCAACTCCTACGAACCAATTTCTATCCTGAATAGGTCAGTTTCTATCCATCGCAAAGCTCATCTGTAAATATCACCTTGAATTTTATAGCCTGCAGAAGCTTCCAGTTTGTGTTTTTTAGCCCCAGATCATGATGTCCTTGGTCCTACAGAAGACAGAGCAAATCTGAGGTTTGTCATACACAAAATGGAGCATTATAAAACCCTTTGGTACTGGTCTGTGTTCATGATAATTTTTTTTCTTGATTATCCCTGTGTTCTCTTCCAAAAGTTGCCGTTACAGACACCAGAACACTCCTGTAATTTTGTTAATCTGCAATGGTTTCATATATGAGCAAGTTGTTTCCTCAATGAAATTATAAACTCCCTGAAGGTAAGAACTAAGCATCTCTTGAAGAGTAAACCACACAAGGTGAATTGAATCCACAGTTGTGTTTCCTGCAGTGCTGTGAACACAGAATTGGTTTCATTACCATCTCTGTAATTGTCTATGTGCAAAGGGGGTTTTTAATGTGGCTTCTCGGGGTTGGTTTGAAGGAACAACAGAATAGAGGTGCTTGACCAACAGTTTAAGTTGCCTTCGTCTGGAGTACTGTGGAAGGCCCATCAATAATCTGCAGCACGCAGCATTCCCCAGGCCTCCTTCACTGTTTCTGTCCTTGAAGGTACCTGCTGTTCCCATTTCCAAGCCTGCAGGACCAACTCTACACAGCAAGTTCTCACAATTCAATTACAATCAAATCAAGCAGGCTCAGGAAAATCTCAAGAGTCACTTAGAGCAGCAGGAACCCAGGAACACATGGCTGGTTAACCACCTATTCAGGCACTGTCTCCTGCCTGGGCCAATCCCCTTTTCCATGTCACACACTACACATAGCAAGGGGACAACTATCCTGGGAGTCTAGGGGAGAGTAAAAGTGTTCACGATCCCAATGATAATTCTCCAGGTATGGAATTTGTATATTTTAAATCTGGCCTATGAGAGATGTGGGGTGGGGGAATTAGGGGCCCTCATTAGCTTTCCTCATCTTTCAAATCCTATCACACCCCTTTCCTTAAAAAAAAGGGGTTCCTTCTTTCAAAACCCACTTTTTTCTATTAACCAATCTTTATGCATTTAAATAAATCTTTCCGAACGCTAGTGAAAGGCATCGAGTATTTTTCTAAAAACAGCTTTATTCAGATATAATCCAAATACTATGCAATTTACCCATTAAAAGTTTACATTTCAATGGTTTTAGTATAATCACAGACTTGTGTATTTACTGCCCTGATCATCTTTTTCCTTTAATTAATTTTTTTTATAGAGATGGGGTCTCGCTATGTTGCCTAGGCTGATCTTGATCTCCTTGGCTCGAGCAATCCTCCTGCCTCAGCCTTCAAAAGTGCTGGGATTACAGGCCTGAGCCATGCACCTGGCCTCCCAGTCATTTTTTAGAACTCTTTCACTACCTCCAAAAGAAACTGCACCATTTAGATACCACTCCCCAAGCCCCTCCCCATAGGCAACCACTAATCTTTCTATCTCTGTATATTTGCCTATTCTGGATATTTCATATCAATAGAATCATATTATATGTGGTTTTCTGTGACTGACTTCTTTCACTTAGCATGTTTTTAAGGTTCATTCACATTGTAGCATGTATTGGTACCATTTCTTACTATGGCCAAACAATATTCCATTGTATGAACATAGCATGTTTTGTTTATTCATACATCAGCTGATAGACATTTAGGTTGTTTCCACATAATGACTGTTATGGATTTTGCAGCTATGAACATTCATATACAAGTTCTTGGTGCACACATTTTCATTTCTCTTAAGTATACAACTAGGGGTGGAATTGCTGGGTCATATGGTATGTTTTACTGACTGAAGAAACTGCCAGACTGTTTTCCAAAATGGTTGCACCATTTTACATTCCTGCCAGCAAGTTATGAAAGTTGTAATTTCTTCACATCCTTTCCAATACTTGTAATCTGTCTTCTGGATTACGGTCAAGCTAGTAGGTGGGAAGTGGTATCTTACTGTCGTTTTGATTTGCATTTCCCTGATGGCTAATGATGTTCGGCATCTTTTCATGTGTTTATTGGCCATTATATATCTTCTTTGGAGAACTATCTAACCAAATACTTTGCCTATTTTTTTCATTGTGTTATTTGTTCTTATTATTCAGTTGTAATAGTTTTACAAAATTCTGTATACATGTCCTTTATCAGATATATGATTGCAAATATTTTCTCCCATTCTCTGGGTTGTCTTCACTTTCTTGATGGTGTTCTTTGAAGTGCAAATTTTAAATTTCGATGATTCCATTTATATATGCCTGCTGAGGTGGGAGGATTGCTTGAGTCTGGGAGGTTGAGGCTGCAATGAGGTGTGACTTCACCCTGCACTCCAGCCCCAGGCAAGAGCAAGACCCTGTATCAAAAAAGAAAAAGAAAGAAAGAAAAGAGAGAAAGAAAGAAAGAAAGAAAGAAAGAAAGAAAGAAAGAAAGAAAGAAAGAAGGAAGGAAAGGAAGGAAGGAAGGAAGGAGGAGAAAGAAAGAAACAAAGAAAGAAAGAAAGAAGGGAGGGAGGGAGAGAAGGAAGGAACGAAGGAAAGAAGGAAGGAAGGAAGGAAGGAAGAAAGGAAGGGAGGGAGGGAGGGAGAGAAAAATCAAATCAATTGACCATAATATGAGGGTTCATTTCTGGACTTTCAATTCTATTCTATTGATTTATATGTCTATCCTTATGCCAGTACTGAGTATCTGTATGTCTTGATTACTGTGGCTTTATAGAATTTTGAAACTGGGAAATGTGAGTCCTCCAACTTTGTTCTTTTTCAATATTATTTTGGCTATTTTGGGTCCCTTAAATTTTCATGTAAATTTGAGGATCGGCTTGTCTAATTTTGCAAAAAAAGTCAGCTTGGAGACAGGAGTTGCGTTGAATGCGTAGAACAATTTCAGGAGTATTGCCACCTTAATAATATTAAGTCTGACTTAGTAACATGGGACGTCACCCTTTCCTCTTAAAGTGAGCCCTCACTGCCAGTCCAGTAGGGCTGGGCTGGTTGGGCCTGGGAGTGGGGGCACCTGGACAAGTCTCTAGGGTCTTGGGCCCAGGTCACTAACTCCCTTCCTCCCCAAGCCTCCTTCTCCACACCCACCCCCAACGCTCCACGACCCCCAAGAGGGAGTACCAGACCCTTCACCTTGCCACACCCTGCAAAGCCAAAATCCTGACATAGTCAGGATCCCACAATCGCAGGGACTGCAGAGGCTTTAGGGATACTGCATTCTGGTTGTCACGGGCTATCCTCGTATTAGGGCGGGTGGCTAGGGGTGCGTTTGCGCCCGGCCGGAAGTGAGGAGAGTCACCATGGGAACCGTGGACGCTGAAACTAGCCACTTCCTCTTGGCACTGAGAAGCTGAATCTGCGCGATCCTCACATCAACCTCGGTCTCTCTGGCTGGATATTTATCGGGTTCTGCCTGAAAGGCCGTCTAACGCCTTTCCTCTTGGAAAAGTCGCAGGTCTTAATAATACAGCTTCAGTTTATACGTTTCTTTGTGCCTTATAATAGTCATAAAGGTCTGGTTAGCTCTCCACTCCGTCGAGGAGCGCTCCAGGAGCTCACAGTTGGGCCTTTCGTAGCACTTAGGGAAAGATCCTTGCTATTTTGCTATTTATTGTACTGGCTTAAAATGGGGGTGGGCAGGCAGGAGCGCCCTTTTCGGAGCGGGCGGGAAAGGGCGGCGACCACGGTTGGCCCCCCGCAGACCCCGCAACTCCTGCTGTGCCCCTCAGCTGCCATTAGAGTCCCCATGGGGTCCCTCCTGCCTGTGTCTCCACAAGAGGGACCCCATGGGAACTCTACTGAGAGCCCTGCATCCTACCAAGGAGCCCCCAGAAGTCGGGCCCTGCGTGGGGTCGGTTGGCCTGGTGGAGTGTGTCCAACCTCTGACCCGCTTTTGGGAGGATCAGAACCCCGCGTCCGGGCGGCCGGCGCGCACCTGGAGCACTAAGGGCCTGGTCGCGGCGCGGGCTGTCCCCGAGTCCGCACCATTCCGGGAAGCCCCACAGCCCTGGGTGGCCCTCGGCGGAGCCCCGCGGCCCTTCACCGTCACAGGGAAAGCTGGATCGGCGGCAGGAAAAGCCCGCGGCCAAGCCGCTCCTGCCCTGGAGGGACTAGACCCTTTGTCTCCACGTCGGGCGTTGGGTGGGGGGGCGGGTGGCGACAGATCGCATGGCTAGGTCCTACAAGCCCACACCTGGGGACAGGCGGGACGAGGAGCACAGCCCGGGGAAGCCACAGGTTGAAAGCAGTGAGAATGTCAGGGGCCTCATGAAACTTGACACAACCTGGAGCACAAGGCTAAGAAACCTGCCACTTGAGCCAACTGGAGGCTGTGGCGCAGCTGAGAGCCAGAGTCACGGGGCTCTTGGGGCAGGCGACCTAAGCCCCTTTCCTCGATTATCTGACTGAGTCTGTAACATCCCAATGGGTATGCTGCACAAATAAAGACCAGGGCATTGCAGTAAAGAAACAATTTAGGCCAGTGGGGTGGCTCATGTCTGTAATCCCAGCACTTAGGGAGCAGAATTGGGAGAATCCCTTGAGCCCAGGAGTTCCAGACCAGCCTGGGCAACATGGTGAAACCCATCTCTACAAAAATATAAAAATTACCTGGGTGTGGTAGTGCGGCCTATAGTCCCAGCTCCCGGAGGACTGAGGCAGGAGGACTGCTCCAGCCCAGGAGATTCAGGCTGCCATGAGCAGTGATTGCACCACTGCACTCCAGCCTGGGCCACAGAGCCAGACCCTGTCTCAAAAAAACAAAGAAAAAAGGAAAAAAAAAATAAAAAGTCTGACATGAGGCCAGTCACACCACATGGGAGATGCCATTTTATTACTCAAAATCAATCTCCCCAGAAATTCAGGGATGGGGTTTTTAAGGATAAATTGGTGGGTAGAGGGTCAGAAAGTGGGAGGTGCTGATTGGTCAGGTGGAAGATGAAATCACAGGGAGTTGAAGCTGTTCTTTTGTGCTGAGTTCATTGGGAGGGTGGTGGCGGAGTGGGGGGCGGGTTACAAGACCAGAAGAGCCAGTTTATCGATCTGGATGGTGTCAACTGGTACATCGGAATGTAGGGTCTGCAAAAATATCTCAAGCAGTGATCTCAGGTTTTGCAACAGTGACTCCTAAACCGTAATTTCTAATCTTGTTGCTAATTTGTTAGACCTGCAAAGGCAGTCTAGTCCCCAGGCAAGAAGGGGGCTTGTTTTGGGAAAGAGCTGTTTTGGCATTTGTTTCAAACCTAAACTATAATCTAAATTCCTCCCAAAGTTAGTTCCACATACACCCAGGAATGAACAAGGACAGCTTGGAGGTTAGAAGCAGGATGAAGTCAGTTAGGTCATATCTCTTTGACTGTCATAATTTTCTCAGTTACGATTCTTGCAAAGGTGGTTTCAAGTCAGCCCCTATCCCTTCTACTCTCTGTGGCCCTTGAGTGCTGAGATAGAAGGAAGATAGCAGGTTTGCAGGTTCACAAGGGGGGAGACCTTCTGCTGGAGGCTGAAGCATGTTTATTGCTATTCTTTCCCAGACACCACTTTTCACACCACAGCTGAATAAAATTTATTGTCACTTTGTGTCAAATTGTCACCCACACCGTGATATTACTTTGTCCCCCTGCTGTGTCCCCTGACTGACCCTTTCTTTAGGTTTAGGAAGATAAAACAAATGTTTCCAACTTCAGAACGCTTATTCTAGGCTTCCAAGTTATGTCTTAGCTTTGCTTTATTTTTTTTAATTTTTAAAACTATTTTTTTAAAAAAAAACTATAATTGTTCCAATTTCTATTGGTCTCAAGCATACCAGGAAATTGTGTGAAAACAAAGAGACAAAAAATAATTTTTGTGTAATTCTTTTGAAATAGTTTGCAGTAGTTTTTAGTGTTTTACTTTGATATCAGCAGTGTTTTTGTTTGGATTAAAAAAATGACCATAAAACCTTTGTTCTTAAACATGTTATTAGATGTAATTCAATATGAATTTATAACATATGTATTTATTTTTGCTTATTTATATAAAAGGGTTTGTTTTTTGAGAAGTAATTTGTAACACTACAAAGAACAACATATGTCAAGGCTTCTGTTTTCATTTGGATAAATATTTTCCTTTAACAAAAATGAGAGAAGAGGGAAGGCAATGATTTTTTTCAATCACTATAGTATTTTAAGATTACTTACAACTCTTCCTTAATAAGGTAACTCAGCACTGCACAAACCCCTGCCTTAGCCTATCAGGAAGAATCTTTGGGCCAGATCTTGGTTTTTTGGGTGTCCAGATCTCCTTTTTGGAACATACTATGTTATTTATAGGAGTGAGCAACGCAAGGACCATGGTAAACCTTTCATGGATTGTGTAAAATAACACAAATAAAAGTTGCCGCCAGGAAGTGCTTTACTTAGTTGCCAAGTAAGACAGCCACTGGCATGTATAGGACTGAAAAGTACAGCAGATCTAGTCACTGACCACCTACTGAGCACCAGCAAGTACTTTGCTAATCGGCTTTAGGTGTGTCCCTTAGTCTGACAGTAGGGACAACGTAGATGGCTCTTGGTGGGACGACAGTTGGACTTGATCTTTTCCTCTTGTCTTGGAGGAAAAATAGGTCCCTATCATCTGTTTTCCTGAACTTCATAAATTGAATTTTTAAAACATTCATTTGTCTTTCCTGTGTCTATATCTCTTAGATCCGCTCTCCCATAATTACTTCTGGAAATGTCAGCTTCCTTATTTACACTGTGACGGCTCTACCAGCCTTTCTATCGCTGTATCTGTGCCCAGGAGACTATCTTTTGGTCCCACAGATACCTCAGGTTCTCCCTTGTTGACATCTTTCCCAGATGTGGACAAAACCTTCCCAACTTGGCCCCAACTCACACTTGATTTTCTGAGCTTTTTGCCAACCCTCCCTACGCATCAGTGTATGAGCTGTGCTTACATTGAAAGTCAAAAATCCCTCTTGTGTGTCTAACACTGCTGCCTTGTATCGAGAAAGATGAAACCACTATCTCATTGTATTCCTCTCTAATTTGGTCTTGAGGTCTGTCTTTGGAGAATGGCCATAAACCATAATACTGCCTTAGTGGGGGTCCAGGGAATTTTTTTTTTTTAGAGGCAGGGTCTCCCTATGTTGCCCAGGCTGGTCTTGAGCTCCTGGGCTCAAGCAGTCCTCCCACCTCGGCCTCCCAAAGTGCTGAGATTACAGACCTGAGGCACTGCACCTGTCGTCTCTGGGGAATTTGGTCATGTACGTTTACAGTGTGCCTTTCACATGCTACTTTTTTATCCAGGTGGATGATCCAATGCCTAAGTGTCTAGCCACTTCCTCTTGGCACTGAGAAGCTGAATCTGCGCGATCCTCAGATCAACCTCGGTCTCTCTGGCTGGATATTTATTGGGTTCTGCCTGAAAGGCCGTCTAACGCCTTTCCTCTTGGAAAAGTCGCAGGTCTTAATACAGCTTCAGTTTATACGTTTCTTTGTGCCTTATAATAGTCATAAAGGTCTGGTTAGATCTCCACTCCCTCCAGGAGCGCTCCAGGAGCTCACGGTTGGGCCTTTCATAGCACGTAGGGAAAGATCCTTGCTATTTTGCTATTTATTGTACTGGCTTAAAATGGGGGTGGGCAGGCAGGAGCGCCCTTTTCGGAGCGGGCGGGAAAGGGCGGCGACCACGGTTGGCCCCCCGCAGACCCCGCAGCTCCTGCTGTGCCCCTCAGCTGCCATTAGAGTCCCCATGGGGTCCCTCCTGCCTGTGTCTCCACAAGAGGGACCCCATGGGGACTCTAATGAGAGCCCTGCATCCTACCAAGGAGCCCCCAGAAGTCGGGCCCTGCGTGTCCAAGTGTCCATCTCACAGGAAACTTATGTTGGCAGATGCTCTTGTGGCTCTTGTCTGACCTGTGTCCAGTTTATTTCTACCAAGATAGCCAATCTAGGAGAGCTCTGACCAAGAGAAAAGTCAGGTTCAAGTGTGCCAGTAGAATGGACAGAGGCAACAAAACCCATGAAATAGCAGAAGCATTTTCTTACAGCACCAAAGATGAGAAGAGTAAAAATGAGGGCCAGTAGGAAGGTTGCAGGTACAATATGCTCAACCGGGGGCCAGACAGAAAGATGAACCCATGGGCCAAGGCCTTTGTTTGGGGTCCAGGGTGTTCTTACCCAAGCAGGTCTCCTTCAGAGAGTTCTAAGTGGTGGGTTTAGAGCAAGCAGGCATGCATCCCATGGGGTCATGCTGTGACTGAGAAGTCACTGTGGCATATCTGTGTAGTCTGTGTGGCATGTGGGGTCAGTGGGGCCAGTTGGGCCAGTTTAGTGGGTTGTATCTAGCTGCCTTGTGGAGAGGTGGTAACCAAGAGCCAGTTGTATAAGGTAGATATGTGGATTAAGAACATTGAGAAACTAGGAATAGGCAGAAAGCTGGAAACTGTGTCCAGGGTGACTAAGCCAGCTTCTGGAATGAGAAAGTTAAACCTACTTTCAAAACAGATGCAGAAGTGACATGATAGGAATTCATTACATCCATGGTCAGAACTAAATGTATTTTATAGTTCATTTATTTTAGTTTACATGAAGTCTACTTATATTAGCATACAAATATTCATAGTTATGTAACAACCACCCCACTCAAGACACAGAACTCTCTTATCATCCTCAGTGATTCTTATGTGCCGCCCCATTTTAGTCAACCTGTCCCTCATCCTTAGCACCTGGAAACCACAGGTCTATTTTCTGTTCTTATAATTTTGCCTTTTCCGAAATATCATATAAAAGGATTTTTTTTTACGTAGGCTCCTTTCACTTGGATGAATGCTTTTGAAACCCATGTTGTTGCTTGTATCAGTAGTTTCTTCATTTTAATAGCGGAGTTGTAGTTCTTTGCATGGATGTACTATATTTTGTTTATCTATTTACCTATTGAAGGACATTTACGTTGTTTCTACATTGTGGTGGTTAGGAATAAAGCTGCTAGAAATATTTGTTTACAATTTTTTTGAGATGGTCTTGCTCTGCTGCCCAGGCTGGAGTGCAGTGGCATAATCATATCTCACTGCTAGAAATATTTGTTTACAATTTTTTTGAGATGGTCTTGCTCTGCTGCCCAGGCTGGAGTGCAGTGGCATAATCATATCTCACTACAGCCTTGACCTCCTGAGCTCAAGCCATCCTCACAGCTCTGCCTCCTGAGTAGCTGCGACTACAGGTGGACGCCACCACACTTGGTGTTTTTTTGGTGAAGATAGGGTCTCACTATTTTGTCCAGACTGATCTCAAACTCCTGGCCACATATGATATGATTTTGCCTATGGATCTAGTGGCTCCGGCACTATTTCACTACTTCAGTTATTTGTTGAAGAAACTGCTTTCTCCATTGAACTACCTTTGTATGTTTGTGAACATATATAAGTGTATTTGTTTACAGATTCTCTACTGTGATCCTCTATTCTAATTTTGTCTAAAATCACACACTCTTGATTACTGTAGCTTTATAAGAAGCCTTGAAATCAGATAGTGTAAGCCTTCTTCAACTTTATTCTTTTTCAAAACTGTTTTTTCATTCCTTTGCCTTTCCATATCAATTTTCTATAAAATGTCTTGCCATGATTTTGATTGAAATTGCATCGAAATGATAGTGTAAGGAGAATTGACCTCTTAACAAGACTGAGTTTTTCTTTCTTTTTTCTTTTCTTTCTTTTTTTTTTTTTGAGACACAGTCTTGTTCTTTTGCCCAGGCTGGAGTGCAATGACACAATCTCGGCTCACTACAACCTCCACCTCCTGGGTTCAAGCGATTCTCCTGCCTCAGCCTCCTGAGTAGCTGGGATTACAGGCACATGCCACCACATCCAGCTAATTTTTGTATTTTTGTTTTTTTCTTTATTGTATTTCTATTTTCAATTTTGTAAGTGCTCTTTTTGTATTTTAGTAGAGATGGGGTTTCACCATGTTGGCCAGGCTGGTCTCAAACTCCTGACTTCAGGTAATACACCCACCTTGGCTTCCCAAAGTGCTAGGATTACAGACGTGAGCCACTGTGGCTGGCCAAACTGAGTTTTTCAATCTATAAACATGCTATATATCTCCACTTATTTAGGTTTGCTTTAATTTTTCTTCACTTTTTTGTTTTCAGCATACAGAACTAGCATATATATTGGTGTGTGTGTGTATATATATATATATGTCTAAAATTTTCATATTTTGTTAAAGATTTCTATTTAAAATCTTGATTTTCATATATTCATTGCTTATAGAAATTCAACTGATTTTTGTATCATGCCCTTGCATTCTACAACCTTGTTAAACTCAATTATTCTAGATTTTAAAAATTTTATTGCAATTTTCTATGTAGACAGTCATGTTATCTAAGGATAGATAGTTTTATTTCTTCCTCGTCAATTTTATGCCTTTTATTTTTTCTTGCCTTATGGCATTGGCTAAGACTTCCAGTACAATGGTTAACATAGGTGATGAGAGTATACACTCCTACCTGTTTCCTGGCCTGATAAGAAAGAATTCAGTCATCAAGTATGCTGTTAGCTATAGGTTTTTTATAGCAGCCCTTTTTCAGTTTACCAATGTCCCCTTTTTGTTACAATCAGATATTGAAGTTTTTCAAATGCTCTTTTTGAATCTGCTGAGATGATCATTCATCTACTGATATGGTGAATTACATAGATACATTTTCAATAATGAACTAGATTTGCATTCCCAGATTAAATCCCAACTAATCGCTACTTAAAACCTTTTCTTGTTATACTGCTGGATTTGATATGGTAATATTTCATTTAGGATTTTTGCAGCTATGTTCATGAGAGATATTAAGTTTCTTTACTTGTAATTTCTTTTCCTGGTTTTGGTATCAGAGTAATACTGCCTTCATAAACTGCATCAGACAGAGTTATTTTCCTTTATATTTTTTAGACAGTTTATGTAGAGTTGGTATTATTTATTTTTAAAAGGTTTTATAGAATTTGCCAGTGAAGCCAATTGGATCTGGAGTCTTTATTGTTTTTTAGTGGAGAAGGATTTTAAATGTAAATTTAATTTTCTTAACATATATAGGACTATTTAGGTTTAGCTATTTCTTCAATAAAATTTGGTAGTTTGTGCCTTTTAAAAAATGTGTCCAATTCATCTACATTGTCTAATTAATAGGCATATAATTATTTGTAATATTCTTGCAATATCCTTGTAGTACTTGTAGGTTCTTCAGTGACCCTGATATTGGTAATTTTTGTCTTCTCTTTTTTGTCAGTATGACTAGAGGCTTATTGATTGATATTTTAAAAGAATGAGTTTTTTATTTTTCTTTATTGTATTTCTATTTTCAATTTTATTATTATTCCCTTTCTTCTGCTTGTTTTGTATTTTATTTGCTCTTCTCTTTCAAGTTTATTAAGGTGGTTTATCACTAATTTTGAGACCTTTTCTAATCAATGTCTTTCTAAGCACCATTTTAGCTGCATCCCACAAATTTTGAACTCTTCACTTCCATTTAGTTCAAAATATTTACCAATTGACATCTACTTCTGCTTGGATTCATGGGTTATTTAGAAGTATGCTGTTTAAATCTCAAATATCAAGTAGTTTTTCAGACATCTGTAATTTTTAGTTTAACTATTTTATGTTTAGAGAAAACATTTTGTATAGTTTCAATTTTTAATAATTTGTTAAGGTGTGTTTTATGGCTTAAAATGCGATGTATCTTTATCAATGCTCTATGTGTACTTGAAAATAATGTGTATTCTGTTCTTTGTTGGGTGGGGATATTCTAATAGATATAGTGTGTGTGTGTGTATATATATATATATAATTATATATGATACAATGATACATAACGACCTATAGATCAAGTTAATAGCATTGTTTAAGTCATAGTTTTAAACTGAATTTTCTGGAGCCCTGAAGTCCAATCTCTGGGTTGGAAGAGGATCTTTAAGTTTGAATACAGAATCCAATCAAAATAGATCTGTTTTTGTTGCTTGTCAAGTCTATCTATAAACACTGCCTTGAAGCCTGCAGTCTGCACACACCAGATTGTTTACTAGCTCCGGGTTCTAATGTTCTGGGACCTAGAGATATTGTGTTAGTCTATAATAGTTTCATGCATGAGCCAATTCTTTTCTGAATTCGATTTTAATATCCCTGAGTATTTCCTAAAGGAAAGGAGGTTTTCTGGACTGTTATACTGGCTAGGCAGAAACAAAGAAATTAGGGTGCTTAGGCCACCACATGTTGTGTCTGTAGCGCTATGCAAGACCTGCCAACATTCTACCGCGGGCGGCATTCCTTTGGTCTCCTCCACAACCACAGTCCTTCCAGTCTTTCATCCTTCCTCCAGTTTCCTGGTGTGTAGGGCCAGTTCTGCCAAGCAGCTCCCAGGGGTGAACTGATAACGAAATGCAGTCTTAGAAGGCTGAGAGACAGAGGCTTGAGAGAAGCCCACAGCTCCATCACATTCCACAAACCACTCTTCAGAGGAGCAGAGCGAGTTTCGGATCACAAAGCTGGGTAACGGCCAGTTCAGAGCCCAGATCTTCTGCCTCCCAGCCCTGTGTCCCTCTTGGGACATACACACCCCTTCACAAGGGGACTGACCTTCTGGGTGACTTGCAGACTAATGGGCCTTCAAGACCCCAAGTGACAATTTTCCAGAGACATAATTTATGTATTAAAGCTGGCTAGTGGGGGATGTTTCTTGAAGGTAGGGTAGGTGGTTAACAGGTTTTCTTTATATTTAATCACCTAACAAATCTTATACCAGAGCACACTCCCCTTATAAAGGGAGGGCTGATCGCGGTCTAGGTGGGTGGGCTAGGCCTGGGGGCGGGTAAAGAAGGAAAATTCTCAGGGTCTTGCACGCTCCCCCAACTCCTGCGTTTACCAGGATCACCACGTTTAGAGTGGAGCCCTTTATCTTCCGCAGCAAGGGGTCAAACGGCTGGCCTTATGCGTATTTTTGTCTTTCCTGGGTGCGCCCGGAGCTAAGAAGGGAAACCGTGGCGGTTAGAGACCAGAAGTAGGCTCTGTCACTATGGAAACCGAGGACGCTGGGGCTCGTGCCCTCCTATTGGGGCTGAGTTGCTGAGTCTGCGCAGTTTTCATCTCATGTCGGTCACGCCCCCAGCTGCGCTGCACGCTGGCTCTCGGGTTCAGCCCGAAAAGTGGAGACTGAGGAAATAGGTGGTGGTGAATACAACATTCTTTCTCATGAGACACTCACCGTGTGGTTGGAGAAATTACGTAAAAAAAAACAATTTCAGTTTTTAAAAAGTGCCATTAATAACAGAGGAGTGCAAATCGAGACAGCACCTTCTGAAGGATAAATAATTTACCAGTGTAATGTGTAGGAATAACGGATGCTGTGGGGCACCCGGTTCTACTTCCAGACTCAAGAATGTGTTCCTCCAGTTGCAGGGTGTGTTGCTAGCAGAAAGCGTTGCTAGCAGAAAGCCTTCAATTGTAAGTCCTCTTCTGAGTTGCCTAAGCCAAAGAGAGTTACACACTGAAGGTCACGCCCGTTTCCTGGACAGTTCACATCCAATGACGCATCAGTGACATGGAGTATAAAGCCTTTCCTGATTGCCTCAATCCTGGGCAATTCTTGCAGGTTGTCCCAGCTTCAGAGCTCCATGTGCTGGGCGGTGGATTTCAACATCTCATGTTGAACGGCTATGGCAGTTCAACATCTCACTCTGCCCAATTCTGCTTTCTTCCACTCTGTACGTTTTTCTATTAGTGGTGATTTCATGAACAAAAATGAGAAATTTTCTACTGTGAAGCAGCTATTTTTATTTTCATTAATCTCTTCTTTAAACAGAAAACAGTACCTTTGGTCAGTTTTAAGCCCTTGGAAAAAAATTTTTTTTTCACTCTCTGGTTACTAAGGAAAAGTCTGCATTTCAATCATTGCATGTGACAGACTGCCACGGTTACTACTTGAGACCGTCAGTGGGGCAGTTACTACTGTCACTACTTGAGACCATCATTACAAGAGTGAATGAAGGGACGAACATAGAAATGAAAACTTAAGACAACAGAAACTGTTTTAAAGGAAGGGGCCAGAGGAAGAAGAAGAGAGCTCCCTGCTTCTAGTGAGCAAAGGCAGCCCCTGAGCTTCTACAGCCCTTCGTATTTATTGGGTAGAAAAAGCAAGGAAGAGGAGGTAACGATTGGTCAGCTGCTTAACTGATCACAGGTTCATATTATTACTAACAGGCTTCAGATGTACCTAATCACAGGAAACACTGCGCTTGGGGTGTGACTGCCCTCAGCATTCCTTCTGGGTGGCAGACGCAGTTTGACAGTTTGCCAACATTCTGCATTTATGAGAACAGTTTGCTGTTTACTCATATAGCCTCCAGTGGTATACTGAGTTGATCACGACCCTCACTCTTTTGGCCTGCAATAATTGTACCCCTATATGTGTTGTTTTCCTTCAGCTGCTTTCAGTAATTTTCCTTTACGTTTGGTTTCGGTGGTTTAATTACAACATGTTTGGGTATGGTTTTCTTTTTTTAGTCTATTTTTGAGCCCGTTTGGGGTTCATTGAGCTTCTTGAATATGTAAATTTATGTATTTCACTAAATTTGAGATGTTCTAGCCAATTTTTCCAAATATATTTTTGTGCGCACTAATCTCATTTTCTTCTTCTGAGACTCCAATTATATAGAAGTTAATTTTTTCATGTATTTATTTATTTATTTATTTACAGGGTCTCTCTCTCTCTCTCTGTTACCCAGGCTGAAGTACAGTGGTGCCATCAAGGCTTATTTCAGCCTTGACCTTCTGGGCTCAAGTGGTCCCCCTATCTCAGTCTTCTGGGTAGCTGAGACTACAGGTGCATGCTGCCATGTCTGGCTATATTTTTTTTAATTTTTAATTTTTGTAAAGACAGGATCTCACTATGTTGCCCAGGCTGGTCTTGAACTCCTGGGCTCAAGTGATTTTCCTACCTTGGTATTGCAAAGTGCTGGGATTACAGGTGTGAGCTATCATCATGCCTGGTTAACTTGGATTTTTTATATTGTTCAAAAAGTTTTCAAAGCTCTGTCCACTGCTTTTCTTTTCTCTCTCTCTCTCTCTGTCTCTCTCTCTGAGATAGAGACAGGATCTTGCCCAGGCTGGTGTTGACTTTTTCTAGGTTCAAGTGATCCTCCTACCTCAACCTTCCAAGTAGTTAGGACTATAGGCATTCCACTGTGCCTGCTTCATTGCTTTTCAGTCTTATTTTTCTCTATTTTTCAGATTGTATAATTTGTGTTGACCTATTTTTAAATTCCCCAACTTCTTCCTCTGTCATCTCCATTCCGCTATTGAGCTAACACGGTGACTCAGTGTTTTAGTCCATATTCACGTTGCTGATAAAGACATACCCGAGACTGGGAAGAAAAAGAGGTTTAATTGGACTTACATTTCCACACAGCTTGGGGGGCCTCAGAATCATGGTGGGAGGCAAAAGGCATTTCTTACATGGCGGCAGCAGGAGAAAATGAAGAAGCAGCAAAAGCGGAACCGCCTGATAAACCCATGAGATCTCTTGAGACTTATTCACTATCACGAGAATAGCATGGGAAAGACCGCCCCCATGATTCAATTACCTCCCATTGGGTCCCTCCCACAACACGTAGGAATTCTGGGAGATACAATTCTAGTTGAGATTTGGGTGGGAACAAACCCAAACCATGTCACTCAGTTTTATGTTAATTACGTTTTTGTATTTTTCAATTCTGAAGTTTCTATTTGGGCCTTTTTCATCTGTGGAGAATTTCTGATTTTCCATTCATTTCAAGGGCATTCACCTTTACCTTGTGGAAGATGATTACATGGCTGCTTTAAAGTCTTGTATGACAATTCCAGTGCTTGATTTTTTTGTGGTTGGCCTAGAGAAAGGTTAGTAAGGACTTTTTAGAAAAGTCAAATTTGTGTGACTCTATCTGTAGGTATAGCTTGGAGATGATGGCAATAATCATAATATGTGAAATGTGTAACTGTGTAGTGCTCCATAGTTGATAAATACTTACACATATAAAATCTGGCTGGGTGCAGTGGCTTATGCCTGTAATCCTAGCACTTTGGGAGGCCAAGGCAGGTGGGTCAGGAGTTCGAGACCAGCCTGGCCAATATGGTGAAACCCTGTCTCTACTAAAAATACAAAAATTAGCCAGGCATGGTGTTGCACGCCTGTAATCCCAGCTACTTGGGAGGCAGAGACAAGAGAATTGCTTGAACCTGGGAGGCGGAGGTTGCAGTGAGCCGAGATTGTGCCACTGCACTCCAGCCTGGGTGACAGAGTGAGACTGTCTCAAAAACAAACAAAAAAAACATCTTATTTGACCCTCACAAGTGCCTTATTAGGCAAACAGAAGAAAGGTTATATTATTCATGTTCAGTTTAAGCAGTTTAGACTCAGGAGCCTAAGTCCTTTGCCAGGCTGTACAGCCAGTAGTAATAAATTCGATATTAATAATAAATCTTCCTACTCTGAGTGCTGTAATTAGCCTTGGGCTGAAGTTAGGGCATAGGCTCAGGGAAACTCAGGACGGGAGAAACTAGATGAAAAAGCTAACGGAGCAGCCATAGCATTGACTGGGCATGGTGAAGACCAGGGTTCTGAAAGCTGAGGATCACAGTGGACCTGGATCAGGACATAGATTTAAAAATGCAATTAAGCTCCAAGGTTTAGAATTCCAGGCATGGGAACAGGCAATGCAGAACAAGGAACTAAGAATCAGCTCAAGTGGGGACCACAGCGGCAGGAGAGGAGAACACAGATCTACCAAAGACCTCTAGGACAGAAACTTTCAAGGTACTTCTTGCCAGGGGTAAGACTGAAGCTAATATCTAGAATTCAATTACAAAATCGCACTTTGGTTCCTCCATGCTAACTTGAGGTTGAACACAGAACTCTAGAGCACAGACAAAATCAATATCTGCATGTGTTGCGGCTTCCTAAGGCCAGCTCCAGTTTTGATGATTTGCCAGAAGGGCACACATGACTTAGCACATAGTCATAATCATGGCTAAGATTTGCTGCAATGAAAAGATACAAGGCAAAATGAGCAAAGGTAAAAGGCACATGAGGCAAAGTCCAAAGGACCACAGGCACAAGTTTCCAAGAGTTCTCTCCCAGTGGAGTTGCACAAGACATACTTCCTCTAGCAATGAGTGTGACAATGTGTGATATGTTATCGGGGTGTCATTAGAGACTGTCCCTAAGGCTTTTACTGGGAGCTGGACATATAGGCATTCCCTGCCTACCATGTACCATGATTCCAGATACCCAGATGGAAAGCAGTTGTTCAGCATAAACCATACTGTCCACACAGTCTAGGCACAGTGAGCCACCCTTATCATTTAGGGAAAGTGTTTTATTTTATTTTACTTTTTTAGAGGCAGGGTCCTGCTCTGTCACCCAGGCTGGAGTGTAGGGGTTTGATCAGAACTCACTGCAGCGTTAAACTCCCAGGCTCAAGCAATCCTCCTGTCTCAGCCTCATAGTAGCTAGGACTACAGATGTGTGCCACCACACCTGACCAATTTATAAAATATTTTTGTAGAGACGGAGTGTTGCTATATTGCCTAGAACTTCTGAACTTCTGACGTCAAGCAATCCTCCTGCCTCAGCCTCCCAAGGTTATAGGATTACAGGCATGAACCACTGTGCCCGACCAAGGGAAAGTTTTATATCAGTGTAGGTACCTGTTTACCAGTTAAGTTCCCAGATGTCAGCCAAGGGCCAACTTTGCAAGCAGGCCTTTCTAAGAATAGCAGTCTCAGGTCTGCTTTGCTAGTTCTTTTCTACACATTGTATTATATACTGATGCATATTTTTACCAACATATAAGGGTATGACTGATGTGTATCCACTCTTAAGGCTGTTATTTCTGTAAATTGGCATTTCCAAATTCTTTTTAATATTCTCACGTTAGTATTCTCTCAGTTGCTTTATTTTATTCTTACATTTTAGTTTTTCCTCTCTCATTCTGTCTTCTTGAAACCATCCTCATAATAACATGCCAGGTTTTGGGCTGAAGGGCAGTCAAGCATTAATCAGGCTACACTTTGGCCCACTTCGCTGTAATTGCTAACTAACCGAAAGTCACGTAGGCCAGAACACAGACCATGAACTTCCTCATTGTTCCTATAGATAGCATCTTTAGCATTAGAAGTCTGAAACTTTCCATTCAAGATGATTTTCAGATTCTGAATTCTTTTTTAAAAATTGTATTATTATTATTTTTAGAGACAAGATGTTGCTCTGTCACTCAGGCTGGAGTACAGTGGCATGATCACAGTTCACTGCAGCCTCTAAACTTCTGGGCTCAAGTGATCTTTCCACCTCAGCCTCCCAAGTAGCTGGGACTATAGGTGCTTACCACCGCACCCAACTAACTTTATTTTATTTTTGTAGGAACAGAATCTTGTTCTGTTGCCCAGGCTGCTCTTGAACTCTTGGCTTCAAGAGATCCTCTTGCCTTGGCCTCCAAAAGTGCTGGGATGAATCTCTGTCATGGTGGCATGAGCCACCATGCCTGGCCCAGATCCTGAATTCTAGCAGGACAGCTCATGCCCACCAGTCTGAAGACACCAAAAGGAGAACTGACTCAATGCAAGAATGCAATTTCTTTAGTTCCATGACGTCACCCTTCATTCTTCAACCAATCAGTGATCCTTATACCTTGGCCCACTAACCATCCAAACCCCTTAAAATCCCTAGATCCTAAACTCCTTGAGGAGGTGGATTTGAGGTTTCCTCCAGTCTCCTTGTTTGGCTGCCTTGTGATTAAACCTCTTTCTCTGCTGCAATTCTTTGTGTCTTGGTGTATTTACTTACCACACATTGGACATTTTACCAAGAACTAAAAATAGAACTACCATTTGACCCAGCAGTCCCACTACTGGGCATCTACTCAAAGGAAAAGAAATCATTCTATCAAAAAGACACCTGTACTCCTATGTTTATTGCAGTACTATTCAAAATAGCAAAGTCTATTTATGTTATAATCAGATTTGTATTACAACTGTTTTATATTACAATAGCTTTATATTATAAATATAATTATGTAACCTATATATAGTACTCAGTTACAATTGTTTGTGTGTGTGTAACTATGTCTGTGTTGTAAAAATTATTCTACCAAAATGGGAATGGTAGGTAGAAAGTATATGCAGATAATTTTGTCTAACAATTTTGTCTTTCATTTTTGTCCAACAAATGCACTGTTTACCTTTTGCCACCGTACTCTCTGCCTCAGAGGGCTGACCTTTGTGGACTGTTTCATGAGTAGCCTTTGACTTTTGGCTTACAGCTGGTTTAATCACTGGGGAGGATCACCAGGAGACCTAGAGACTGGGAGGTGAATGAGGGAGGGTGGTTGCTGTCCTGGGAAGTGAATGAGGGAGGGTGCTTACTGTCCCAGATCTTTCCCTGTCGATTCTCTATGGGTTACCAAGTACCCTAGCAAATTTCACAGCTCCTCTCAGATGGCCCTCTCCCATACAGCTGTTCTCAATAGGTTTCCATAAACATTGCCTTCCAGGCTAGATGTAGTAATAGTTCCCTGGTGTTGCAAACTGTAGGGAACCTACTATTGCTTATTGCTTTCCCTAAATACTATCTGCACATTTTGCTGGAATTCTGACTGAGATATGTACTCCTTTTTCTTCAAATAGATTAACTCATGCTTTCAAGTCTTATAAATCTCTTATTACTAAATATTGGAGAAATTTCCTACCATAAAGCTCCTACATTGATTCACCTATATTGTTTAAATAAGAGGCCAATGCTCTAATTTCCAATTACCTCTGAGCCTCTCTGGCATCCAGCTCACATTATAGGTAGTCAGAATTTAAGATATCTTTCATTCATTGTTTGGGTTGGACATTTCATCTTCCCATAAGTAGAAACATTTCAACAAAAATGTGAAGTGTTGTGATATTTGCATCCTAACTTCAAATGGTTGAGAACAAAATTTTCAAAGAAAATGAGAATACAAAAATAAAAAAGTGATTAATCCATACATAGATAGAGATAAACAAATGAGGAAAATATTAGTTGGTAAATCTTGGTGTTCTATGTAGTAGCAGTATTCCATTTTTCTGCAAGTTTGAAGTCTTTCAAGTAAAATATTGAGCAGAAATATTGCTGTGAAGAAATTTTTGACTAGCCTGATTTTTCTATTGTGCATGATATTTTTTCTTTCTTGCTTTAAAGCTTGCACAAATATCTTTTTATTCTTGAAGTTCATTATGTCAATTAAATTGTGTTTCTGTGTTAAGAATCTTACGTTAAAATTTCTCAGAGCATGGCATTTTTTTTCCAGATGGTGGACAAGTGTGGTGCAGCTGTGTATTTACCTAATCTTTTTTCAAAGTCAGAATTATTAAAGATCTAGAATGAACAGAAAAGATTCAAATTAAGAGTGACTATTTGAGAGTCATTAAAAGTCTGTGAAACGAGGGGATGTCTGGGAGTGCAGCTGGGCGGCAGCATCATGACGTCACAGATGAAACACAAGCACTGGAGCCAGGGAAACTGACTCCTCCATTCAAATTCTGACTTTACCATTTGTCAGATGTGGAACCTTGGTCTGATAATGCAACATTTCTGAACCTCAGTTTCCCCATCTGTAATATGGGGTGAATCTCTGTCTTATAAGATTGATGACAGAATTAGAGACAAGGAATGTAGACACTTAGTCTGCAATAAGTAGACTTATTCAGTGGAGCTCAGTAAGTAATTGGTCATTATTTTTCGTACATTAAGGGCTAGGTTACTGAAACCTTACAAATGCTTTCAGAAATTGGCAGGAGGAAACCACACATGTGTACTCAAGCAAGGACACCACACGGAGATACTGTGTTAAGCAGTTAGGCAAGAATAGAGTCAACTAATCATAGCAAGCCTTCTCTCCTCCCCCTATATTACCTGAATGGAAGGAACACTAGAGAAACACAAATTTTTGCTGCAGCATTGCCTTTTCACACTTAGGTATATGTCATTATTCTAGAAGAACATGTACCAACAACATTTGCTTGTTCATTTAAGGCAGTTTTTGCTGCACCTTGTGAAATATCTGTTCCCACAGGTGGCTTTATTTCTTCACAAGTTTATTCGTTTCACTGTTGTAGTCTCAATATTAAAATTGTGTGGTACATTGAAATTGTCAAAAGACAGAAGTTAAGTTCCCTGCCTCATTGGTATGAGCCCATTTAATAAGTTTCCTGCAGAGTTTCTGAGATAATTGCCTTCTTTCTCTTTAGCTGGGTCTGATTATATAACAAGAATAGATCCTATAATGAGAGACTTTATGCAAACATTAGACATCATAATTCCTTTCAAGCAATTAATTACCCTCAAGATTAAGTAAATTGATGCAACACTTGATAAATGTTTCAATTAATTAATTAATTTGAAAATACTTTTATATACAAACCTGAGTACAGCCTTGTTTTTAGTGATGTGAAAGATATTTTCATGAAGGCAGAGGAAAAGAGTACTCAGAAAAAGAGTACTAGCAGGCCGGGTGTGGTGGCTCATGCCTGTAATCCCAGCACTTTGGGAGGACGAGGTGGGCAGATCACCTGAGGTCAGGAGTTCAAGACCAGCCTGGCCAACATGGTGAAACCCCATCTCTACTAAAAATAGAAAAAACTACTGAGTGTGATGGCGGGTGCCTGTAATCCCAGCTACTCAGGAGGCTGAGGCAGGAGAATCACTTGAACCTGGGAGGTGGATACTGTAGTGAGCCAAGATCGCACCACTCCACTCCAGCCGGGGCAACAGAATGAGACTCTGTCTCAAAAAAAAAAAAAAAAAAAAAGCTGTATGTATCAAAACAGTGTGGTAATGGCATCAGGCTGGACATATAGATTAATGGAATAAATTGAGAGTCCAGAAATAAACCCATACATCTACGGTCAATTGATTTTTGACAACAGTGCTAAAATCACTGGAAATCTGAAGTTTCATCTGGGAAGACAAATTGCTGGGCATGACTCCTATGGCTTAGGCCTGAATCACCTAGTTGCTTCTCCACTTATGTCTGGTCCCTGTGCTATAATGACCAGTAAAGTGTGTGCTTTAATGACACAGTAAAGTGTGTGCTGTCAATGACAAGAGTTACATATGGCCTCTCAATGTAGATTGGACTTCATCACAGCATAGTGACTTTGGAGTAGTCATAGTTTTATATGGCGGCTTAGGGCTACTGTGTGTATGTGTGAGCAAGTCAAAAGCTGTATAGCCTCTTATGAGCTAGCATTGGAAGTCACATAGCATCACTTCTACTATACTCAGTGGTCAAAGCAGTCAGAAACTCACGAACATTCAAGGTGAAGAGAAACAGACCAACCTCTTGATGGGAAGGGATTCAAAGAGTTTGAGGCCATTTTTTAAAACTACCAGAATGAAATTTTCAGCCATCACTTTGCAAGCAGAAAGAAATAGAAATTATCCACTTAAAACGTTAAGAATTCTGAGATTTCTGAAGGCAAGGAAAAGGAAAAATATCTATTGTACAAAAAGGACATATTACAGAATGAAATTGCCATGCTAAGAGTGGAACTGAACAAAATAAAAGAATCAAGATCATAAGATCTCAGAAGGGCCAGGTGAAAAAATTATGAAAATTATAAATCAAGATCAGAGAAAATATATTGAGGATATTAACATTTTAACATAAAAGAATTTTGATATTCAAAAGATAATAAAACTGGGCAAAGAAATATTAGCCAAAACAATATTCAGTATAATGGACTACTTTATGCAGTAATACCTGAGAAAGCAGCATTGAACTCAAATTAATAAATGAAAAACAAAGCAAAGAGAAATTGAATATTACGGTTGGATATGTTTTTTTGTTTGTTTGTTTTTTGTTCTTTTGTTGTTGTTTTTGAGACAGAGTCTCGCTCTGTTGTCCAGGCTGGAGTGCAGTGGTGTGATCTCGGCTCACTGCAACCTCTGCCCCTCGGGTTCAAGCGATTCTCCTGCCTCAGTCTCCCGAGTAGTTGGGATTACAGGCACCCGCCACCAAGCCGGTTGGGATATGTTATAATTTATTTGGCCCTGCCAAGTCTCATGTTGAAATTTTATCCCCAGTGTTGGAGATGGGGCCTGGTGAAAGGTACTTGGATGCTGGGGACAGATCCCTTAATGTCTTGGTGCCTTTCTTGCAGGAGTGAGTGAGTTCTCACTTTTAGTTCACATGAGAACTGGTTGTAGAGAAGAGCCTGGTACCTCCTCCTCTCTCTCTCAATTCCTTTCCCACCATGTGATCTGCACACACCAGCTCCCCTTCCTCTTCCACCATGAGTGGAAGCAGCCTGAATTCCTTGCCAGAAGCAGATGCTGGTGCCATGCTTCTTGTACAGGCTGCAGAACTGTGAGCCAAATAAACCTCCTTCCTATGTAAATTACTGAACCTCAGGTATTCCTTGATAGCAACATAAACAGAGTAAGACATTGAATCATCAGGTTCCAATATTTTCATTCGTCTGAACTAAAATATAACCATGATGTGCCTTCTCAATAATGTTGAAAACTAAATGTTAAAGTAGTAACCTACACAATGAGCTTTATCGCACTAAAGTTACCCTCTGAACCAAAAGATATTGGTTAGACCTCCTATCACAGAATGTAAAAAGAAGGAAAGTGAATACATGTGACAACATGAACGCACAAAATGAATATATTATACGATAAAAAACCTTAAAGAAATGATCACTGAAACTACAAAGTAAAAATATATTGTTTTCAAACAATGGGGTAATATGCACAAAAAGATTATGAAATAGAAAAACACAATGACTAATATAAAAGATAAATTGTGTAAGTATGCACAACAAATCAAGCTGAGAGTGAAAAACAAACACATGCTGGAAGAAAGAAATAACTAGTTATTCAAAGAATATCATCACTTGAAAGAAAAAAATAGGTATGAAGTTGGCAAAGCAGAGAGAGGGATTATAGTGTGACAACTTTGATAAGATCTTGCTGATACTATAAAAAAAATCTGCATTGGAGGCCTTCCTGAAGGTCACATACCTTTATCACATTTATTCAGAAAAAAAAGGCTAAAGATATAAAGGAGATAATAGGTCAAATCATATGCCAGTTGGAAGTAGTGCAAGATGGACAAACACCGGTGATGTGGTATGCTGAGAAGGCACAGTAGCAGCAGATGCAGAAGTCTGAAATAGAAAACGCCAGGTTTTCTATGGCATACCAACCTGAGTGTGCCCAGTCTCATCCAATCTCAGAACGTAAGCAGGATTGGGCCTGGTTAGAACTTGGATGGGAAAATGCCAGTTAAAATCTGTACTAAAAAATTTAAGCAGGCAAAATCAAAGTCAAATTGCATCAAAGAATCTGTTAGGGCAAGTTTTTCTGATAAAGCAAAAGAGAAATTAAATACATTTATTATATTAAATAATCGGGACTATTACGTGGACCAAGAGGAGAAAAACAATACATTTTTCATTTTTCATTCAAAAAAGAGATTACTGGATTGATGACATTATAGCAAAATTTAAAAATAGCATATTTTAATGATTAGAGGGTTGGGACTTTGTGCCTCACTTCACAACCTCTGAGGACAGGAGAGAGGATGAAAGTTAAATTGATCATCAATGGCCAAGGATCTAATCAATCATACCTGTGTAACAAAGCCTCCATAAAAACCCAAAAGGACTGGGTTTGGAGAGCATCTGGATGGCTGAATAAGTGGAGGCTCCAGAGGGTGACACACCGGGGAGAGCATGGAAACTCCACACTTCTTCTCGCACATAGCTTGTTCTATGTATCTCTTAGTGTGTATCTTTTATAATATCCTTTATAATAAAAATTGGTAAATGTAAAAAAAAAACTCCAGTATCTTTAAAATGTATGTATCAGAGGCTTCCAGTTTCTGATAATATCCAAGTAACTCCTACTGAACAAATTTTCTTTCACATAACAACTGTAATTTCTGGAAGAAATATTTAAAACAGTTACTTTGAGGCACTAGAGAGAGCGAATGAAAGTAAACAGATAGAAGAAACTGATGGGAAAAGCACCAAACAAAAAGTAAAATTGTAGACTTAAATCTAACCATATCAATAGTTAAATTAAATGATAATGAAGAAACTCTCCAAGTATAGCAAGGCTCAACTATATGCTGTTTACAAAAACTACACCTTAAATATAAAGAGATGAGTTAAAAGTAAGTGCACAAAAAAAACTATATTATGAAAACATAAGACAACTGAGCTGTTTAGTTGTATTACTATTATGTAAAGTAGTCTTTAAGATGAAGAGTATTAACGGTGATAAAAAGGGACAATTCATAATGATAAAAGTTTTTGTTTATCAGGAAGACAAGGCAACCATAAAACTATATTCTCCTAATAACAGAATACAGGACATGAGTAAAAAATCTACAGCTACCTTCCTGTTTATTGGGAAAAGAATGTCTAAATGCTTTCTTTCTGTGATTGAGAACAAGGTAAGATGCCCACTCTATATATTTCTAGTCATTATTATATGGGAGAGCTTAGCTAGTGCATTTAAGCAAGGAAATGAAACAAAAGGCATACAGATAGAAAGGAAGAAGTGCAGTTTGTTTTATTCAACTTGAGTATCTTTCTAAAATTTTTTTGAATCTTCGAAACAGCTATTAGAACTTGCAGCTGAAATTAGCAAAGGACAGCGTCTAAGGCCAATATATAAAACTCAATTATATTTCTACGTACTATTAAGAAACAGTGGCAAAAGAAATTTTTAAAATAACATCAAAATATAAAATGCTTAAGGATAAATGTTATAAAATATGTTCAAGACCTATAAACTAAAAACTACAGAACATTGCTAATAAAAATTGAAAATAACATAAGATTTACTTATCTATTTAAGATACATTATGCTTATGGTTTGGAAAACTTAACATTGTTACGGTGTCTTGTCTCCCCAAATTGCTCAAAATTTAAGAAACCCAAATCCAAGTCCCAGCAGGCTTTTGATGGGGGTAGAAATTAGTAAATGGATTCTAATGGTTATACGTGAATGCAAAAGCAGTACAATAGTGAAGACAACAACATTAGAAGACTCTTGAAATCTCATTTTGAGGTTTATTACAGAGTCATGCAAATTTAAAAGGGCATAGTGGTGCAAGAATAGAAATGCAGATTAAGAGAACGAAAGAGCTGAGAAAAAGAAACCTAACGTATATGGTTAAGTGGTTTTCAACAAAGACGCCAAAGTAATTCATTGGATAAAGCATAGTCTTTTCAACAAATAGTGCAGAAAAAAATAGCTATCCATTTGAAAAGGAAAAAAGATAACTATTTCTTAGATAAGAAAGGATAAACATAAACCATAGAGGGAAAAATTGATAAATGGGACATGATAAAAAATTTAAATACCTGACTTTTGAACAACTTTTTAAAGAAAATGAAACTACAAGTCACATACTGGGAGAAAATATTTGAAATATGTGTATCTGACAAAGGACTTGAATTCAGAAGATGTAAAAACTTCTATAACTCAGTAATAAGAAGACAGCAACACAATAAAAGAAACAGCCGAGAAATGAGAACAGACATTTCACAAAGAATAGATACATGCAAAGAGCAAATAAGTACATGAAAAGATATTTTGTTTATTCATCAGGAGAGTGTAAATTAAATTCTGATAACACTACATACGCGTTAGAAAATATAAAAAGACTGAGATAGCAAGTGTTCATGTGGATGGGAAGCAACTGGAACTCTCAAACATTGCTTCTGAAAACATAAAACGATACAACCATTTTGCAAAACAGTTTGGCAATTTCTTATAAACATACACTTACTATCTGACATAGGAATTCCACTCCTATGTACTTAAAAAGAGAATTAAAAGCATATGTTCCCAATGACCCATTGGTGAATAATTATAGCAGTATTATTTGTAATATCCCAAAACTGGACAGGGATCAAATGTCCACCAAAAACTGTATAAATAAACTAATTGTGGCATAGCCATATAATGGAATACTACTTGGTTAAAAAATAGAATAAAATATGGCTACATGTAACAAGATTGATAAAGAAACCAGATACAAAAGAGTGTAAAACAAGCAAAACTAATTTATAGTTATAAAGAGCAAATTAATGGTTGCTTGGGACTGAGAGTATGAGGTGGTGTATGTGTACTACAAAGGAAATATTCTATATTTTGCTAATGGTGATATGGATGTTTAAATTTGTCAAAACATCAAACTGTATACTTAGAATGGATACATTTTAATGCATATCAATTATACTTTGATTTAATATATATCAGTGTACATAGTATATTTGTCAGTATATTATAATTTTTTAAAGTTAACATGTTTTTTCTGGTTTTCTCTTTCTTAAAAATAATTTTGTATTTTTAAATAGATCACAAATTTGCAGAAAAGCAAAAAATAACTTTCTTCTGAACCACTTGAAATTAAGTCCTTTTTTTCTTTTCTTTTTTTTTTTTTTTTTTTTGAGACAAGGTCTGACTCTGTCACCCAGGCTGAAGTGCAGAAGCACCATCAGGGCTCACTGCAGCCTTGACCTTTCTGGGCTTGGATGATCCTTGCACCTCAGCCTCCCAAGTAGCTGGGGCCACAGGGGCGTGCCACTACACCCAGCTACTTTTTGTGTTTTTTGTAGAGATGGGGTTTTGCCATGTTTCCCAGGCTGGTCTTGAATTCTTGAGCTCAAACAACCCACCTGCCTCAGCCTCCCAAAATGCTGGGATTACAGGCATGAGCCACCACTCCTGGCTGAAATTAAGTTCTTAATCTTATGTTTCATCACCTCTGAATAACTTAGTATTTCCTACAAACAAAAAGCTTCTCCTGCGTGACCAAGTTATAATAATCAAAATCAGAATGTTAACATTGATACATTAACTTTGATAGCACTGATATATTAACATTAATAACTTTCATCTTTAGACCTCAGTAACTTTTTGTGAACTGTCCCAATAACAGTCTTTTAAAGAAAATGATTGTATTTAGTATCATAGTTTGCATTTAGTTGTCATGTCTCTTTCCTGTCCTTCAGAAAGGAACAGTTCTGCAGGCTTTTTCTGAGATTCATGACTTTGATGCTTTTCAAAATTATAGGCCAGTAATTTTGTAGAAAGTCTATCAATTTGCATTTGTCTGATATTTCCTCGTGATTAAATTTATCTTTTGGAGTAATATCGCAGACTGATGCTCTGTTCTTATTGCATTCTATCTGACGGCAGTTTCATGAAATGATTGATGCCTTACAAAAAGTTTATGGGGACAATTCCCTGAAGAAATCCGCAATTTACTAATGGATAACTTATTTTAGGAAGGGATGAGATGATGTCGGAGATGAGGCCTGCAGTGGCAGACCATCAACATCAATTTGCAAGGAAAAAATTCATCTCGTATCTGCCCAAATTGAGGCAGACCAACAGTTAACAATAGAAACAAATAGTCAACACTGTAGACATCTCTATTGGTTCAGCTTACACAATTCTGACTGAAAATTAGTAAAGTTTGGCAAACTTTCCACTCAAGGGGTGCCCAAACTGTTGTGCCCAGATCAGCTTCAGACAAGAGCAGAGCGCTTTCAGTGGAAATTCTAAACAAGTGGGATCAAGATCCTGACGTATTTCTTCAAATTGTAACAGGAGATGAAACATGGCTTCACCAATACAATCTTGAAGACAAAGCAAAATCAAAGCAATGGCTACCAAGAGGTGGCAGTGGTCCAGTCACCCCAAAAACAGACTGATCAGGAGCAGAGGTCATGGCAAGTGTCTTGGCATGCTCAAGGCGTTTTGCTTGTAGACATTCTGAAAGGCCAAAGAATGATAATATCTGCTTATTATGAGAATGTTTTGAGAAGGTTAGCCAAAACTTTAGCAGAAAAATGCCTGGGAAGCTTCATCAGAGAGTCCTTCTCTGCCACAACAATGATCTTGCTCATTCCCCTCATCAAACAAGGGCAATTTTGTGAGAGTTTTGATGGGAATCTACCTTACAGTCCTTATTTGGCTCCTTCTGACTTCTTTTTGTTTCCTAATTTTAACAAAATCTTTAAAGTGCACTCATTTTTCTTCAGTTAATAATGTAAAAAAGACTGCATGGACATGGTTAAATTCCCAGGATCTTCAGGTTTTTAGGGATGGACTAAATGGCTGGTACCGTTCCTTACAAAAGTTTCTTGAATTTGATAGAACTTATGTTGAGAAATAAAGTTTATAATTTTTATTATGTATGTATGTATGTATGTATTTATTTGAGACAGGGTTTTACTCTGTTACCCAGGCTGGAGTGCAGTGGCACAATCAAGGCTCACCACAGCTTTGATCCCCTAGGCTCAAAAATCCTCCCACCTCAGCCTCCCAAGTAGTTAGGACTACAGATGCATGCCACCACTCCCAGCTAATATTTTGATCTTTTTTTTTTTTTGAGACAGGGTCTCACTATGTTGCTCAGGCTTGTCTCGAACTCTTGGCCTCAAGTGATCCTCCCACTTTGGCCTCCCAAGTGTTGGGATTACAGATGTGAGTCACCGCACCCAACCACCTTTGTCCCCCCTTTTTTTTTTGGAGATGGAGTCTTGCTCTGTTGCCAGGCTGGAGTGCAGTGGCACGATCTTGGCTTACTGCAACCTCTGCCTCCCAGGTTCAAGCAATTCCCCTGCCTCAGCCTCCTGAGTAGCTGGGACTACAGGCGAGTGCCACTATGCCCAGCTAATTTTTTTTTGTATTTTAATAGAGTTGGGGTTTCGCCATGTTGGCTAGGATGGTCTCAATCTCCTGACCTCGTGATCTGCCCACCTCGGCCTCTCAAAGTGCTGGGATTACAGGCGTGAGCCACTGTGCCCAGCCACCTTTGTCCCTTTTAAGTCAAACTGATGGTGTTTTCACTAATGATTATTTCAAAAATGCCATGTGTTTTCCTGTTAGGATTTGATCTCCGCCTAAAGCTATTTCTTCTTCTTCTTCTTCTTCCTCTTCCTCTTCTTCTTCTTCTTCTTCTTCTTCTTCTTCTTCTTCTTCTTCTTCTTCTTCCTCTTCCTCCTCCTCTTCCTCCTCTTCCTCTTCCTCCTCCTCTTCCTCCTCTTCCTCCTCTTCCTCTTCCTCCTCCTCTTCCTCCTCTTCCTCCTCTTCCTCCCCTTCCTCTCCTTCTCCTCCTCCTCCTCCTCCTTCTTCTTCTCCTTCTTCTCCTTCTCCTCCTTCTCCTCCTTCTCCTTCTCCTCCTTCTCCTCCTTCTCCTCCTTCTCCTTCTTCTCCTTCTTCTCCTTCTCCTTCTTCTTCTCCTTCTCCTTCCTCCTCCTTCCTCCTCCTTCCTCCTCCTTCCTCCTCCTTCCTCCTCCTTCCTCCTCCTTCTCCTTCTTCCTTCTTCTTCCTTCTTCTTCTTTCTTTCTTCTTCTTCTTCCTCTTCCTCTTCTTCCTCTTCTTCTTCTTCTTCTTTCTTCTTTTTTTGAAAAGGAGTTTCGCTCTCGTTGCCCACGGCCAGAGTGCAATGGTACGATCTCAGCTCATTGCAAATTCTGCCACCTGGATTCAAGCGATTCTCCTGCCTCAGCCTCCCAAGTAGCTGGGATTAAAGGCATGTGCCACCACGCCGGGCTAATTTTGTACTTTTAGTAGAGACGAGTTTTCTCCATGTTGGTCAGGCTGGTCTTGAACTCCCAACCTCAGGCGATCCCCCTACCTCGGCCTCCCAAAGTGCTGGGATTACAGGCATGAGCCACTGCACCTGGCCTCCTAAAGTTATTTCTTAATTTTATCATTGCTTGTCCTGGAGAGGCTGAGGACAAAATTTTAGCACCCTGTCTAGAAATCTCCTTAGCTAGATCATCCATTGCATTAAGTAAAAATTTCTATTTTTCATGTGATGGCAGCTGACCATTTTGCTTTACTTTCTTTTTTTTTCTTTTTTTTTTTTTTTTTTGGAGACAGTGTCTCGCTCTGTCACCCAGGCTGGAGTGCAGTGGCGCGATCTCGGCTCACTGTAAGCTCCACCTCTCGGGTTCACGCCATTCTCCTGCCTCAGCCTCCCGAGTAGCTGGGACTACAGGCGCCTGCCACCGTGCTCGGCTAATTTTTTGTATTTTTAGTAGAGACGGGGTTTCACCGTGTTAGCCAGGATGGTCTCGATCTCCTGACCTTGTGATCCACCCGCCTTGGCCTCCATTTTGCTTTACTTTCAACCAGTACATAACAAGGGTCCTCCTTCCTCCAGCTACTGATAACATTGTCCTCACTTTCCTTTAGTACTTCCAGGTACTTTCTGCCAACAGCAAAGCCAAGATTAGATTCTAACATACTTGGAACTTTCATTCTCAGTGTAGGCCAGGTCAGAACACAAGAGCACAAATACTGATAATGGTGTCATTCATTGATTAACATACTCTCTAAGGCTATAATTTACTGTAAATTGCCATTTTGAAATATTCTTTAATCTATACATTTCAGATTCTCAATGTATATTTTTCTAGATTTGGATTACACTACCTGAATTGCTTGTCTAGTTTTTCACCCACAAAATCTTGTCTGTTACTTTACGTTATTTTCTATGTATGTATTTTTTACTTTCTCTCATTCTTTTATTTTTTTCTTTTCCTTTAGTTGTTTCTTCTTTCAATTTCATTTTGGTAAAATACTCATTTTCATCTCCTTCTAAGACCTTTCTTCATATTCCCTGAAAGAAATAAAGAAATTAAGCTGTTTTCAGAAGGAAGTTCTGTAGGCGGATTGTTTACCTGCGACTCCAACACAAACTCCCCCATGGGAAGGATGCATTCAGTGACAACTACCCAAGCACAGTGAGACCACCTGCCACATTTTAGAATTCCTGAGCACTAAGACCTTGTTATCAGAGGGTAGCGGTTAGGTGGTGAGGACACCTTGGCTCAGGTGATAGATTCAGGAGTGGGGCTAGAGACGGGTGGGGCTTGGCAAGAGGGGCGGAGCCTGAGTGGAACCAAGCTTGGCAAGAGGACTGGAGCCATTAGGGGTGACTGCAAAGGCCAGGCTCTTGCCAAGCTGGTCACAATCTGTACTGAGCTATGACACCCTGAGCTGCTTGGCCCTTGATTGAAAAAAACTGCTAGAAACTCAGAAGGCTCAGAGTGTTCTCTCTGCTCCCCTCTCAGAAGACAGAAAAACTGAGGCCCCCAAATGGAAGGGTTTTAGGTGGTCCTGGTGTCCTCCTCGAGCCATGGTTTCAGAGCAGCCCCTTAAAACTGGTGTGACAAAGGCAAGGGGCACAAAAAGGTGTGGTTCATAAAGCATGGTTTAGAGGAACCTCAAATCAGAAATGATAAGCAATGCTCACCCCTCAATGGACTTCTAGGAGCACCCTCCATGCGTAGAGATCTTGGAGAACATATTGTGTAGTATTTGGCTGACTTGACTGATCACAGAGTGGGAATATCTCGACTGAAAGGGGGGAAATACCTCCTTGATGAAGAAGTGGATTCACTAAGAAGGAGAATCTAAGGGGACAAATTCCTGTATAAAATCAGAGTGGTGGTTATCCAAAGGGGATAGATTTGTTTTCCAGAGGAGAATGAGTCCCTCATGGTGGGGCACTTGGGGGAACAGGCACTTCCAGGTATGTCTCTGGAAGTCCCAAGAGTTCAGCTCCCAATGGCCTCTATTTTATCTTTCAGTGGAAGGCTGAGGAACCTGCTGAAGGTGAAGGAGTGAGAATCTTTTTATAATTTGAGACTATTTGGTTTAGATGGATTGCATTTTGAATCTATCATATAGAGGGTCAAAATCTCATTATACTATCCAAATCAACATCAGAAGTTAGTGAGAGATTCAGCATTCTGAAAGCTGAAGTTCATATATAGCTGTCTCAACTCTGGCTCAACTCAGTAGAGCAGGGCTGGAGTGGCAAGGTGGCACAGAAGTATGGCAGAGGTACATTACATGAGTTAGAGTTGAGATGTGGCCAAAAGGTATCAGAATTCCCTAGAGCAGCAGTCCCCAACTTTTTGGCACCAGGGACCAGTTTCGTGGAAGACAATTTCTCCACAGACCGGGGAAGGCGGGAGGGGATGGCTTAGGGATGATTCAAGTTTGTTACATCTGTTGTACACTTTGTTTCTATTATTATTACATTGTAATATCTAATGAAATAATTATACAACTCACCATAATGTAGAATCAGTGGGAGCCCTGAGCTTGTTTTCCTGCAACTAGACAGTTCCATCTGGGGGTGATGGGAGACAGTGACAGATCTTCAGGCATTCCATTCTCATAAGCAGCCCACAACCTAGTTCACAATAGGCTTCATGCGCCTATGGGAATCTAATGCCACCGCTGATTTGACATGTGGTGAAGCTCAGGTGGTAATGTGGGTGATGGGGAGTGGCTGTAAATACAGATGAAGCTTCGCTTGCTTGCCTGCCACTCAAGTCCTGCTGTGCAGCCTGGTTTGTAACAGGCCACAGATGATACCATGGAAATAAAAGAAGCCCTGATTTGTAGAATTTCACACTTTCCCTTGGTTAATTATACCCACTATGGGAAATTTAAAGTTCACAATCTGATGTAACTGAAAGAGTGGAATTGGAGAGATGCACAGTAGTACAGCATTACAGAGCACTTCCACCATAGACGCAACAGACAAAATAACATCAAGAGCACAAATAATAGTAAAATGTAGTATAATAATTAGAAGGGTGAGCTTTTAGTATTACCTCTGGGATTTTTAAAAACATCTATGTTGAAATATAATTCACATACCATAAAATTCACCCATTTAAAGTAAAATAATTCAGTGATTTTAGTATATTTTTAGAGTTTGTAACCATCACTACAATCAGTTTTAGAACATTTTAATCATCTCAAGCAGCAACATTATATAAATTTGCAGTCACTCCCCATTTACCCCCAAGTGCCCTCCTCCTTGGCTCTGGGCAACCACTGATCACTGCCTATTGCACAGTTACCCTTTGTGGACATTTCACAAAGTCTATTGTGATTTGCTTCTTAGCATATTGTTTCCATGGTTCATCCATGTAATGACATGTATATAGCCTTACCCATTTTGTTGTATTGGCATCCTTGTTGAAAATCATAAATGTTTTTTCATGTGTCTTTTGGCTGCATAAATGTCTTCTTTTGAGAAGTGTCTGTTTATATCCTTCGCCCACTTTTTGATGGGGCTGTTTGTTTTTTTCTTGTAGATTTGTTTGAGTTCATTGTAGATTCTGGATATTAGCCCTTTGTCAGATGAGTAGATTGCAAAAATTTTCTCCCATTCTGTAGGTTGTCTGTTCACTCTGATGGTAGTTTCTTTTGCTGTGCAGAAGCTCTTTAGTTTAATTAGATCCCATTTGTCAATTTCGGCTTTTGTTGCCATTGCTTTTGGTGTTTTAGACATGAAGTCCTTGCCCATGCCTATGTCCTGAATGGTATTGCCTAGGTTTTCTTCTAGGGTTTTTATGGTTTTAGGTCTAACATGTAAGTCTTTAATCCATCTTGAATTGATTTTTGTATAAGGTGTAAGGAAGGGATCCAGTTTCAGCTTTCTACATATGGCTAGCTCATCATCACTGGCCATCAGAGAAATGCAAATCAAAACCACAATGAGATACCATCTCACACCAGTTAGAATGGCAATCATTAAAAAGTCAAGAAACAACAGGTGCTGGAGAGGATGTGGAGAAATAGGAACACTTTTACACTGTTGGTGGGACTGTAAACTAGTTCAACCATTGTGGAAGTCAGTGTGGCGATTCCTCAGGGATCTTGAACTAGAAATACCATTTGACCCAGACATCCCATTACTGAGTATATACCCAAAGGATTATAAATCATGCTGCTATAAAGACACATGCACATGTATGTTTATTGTGGCACTATTCACAATAGCAAAGACTTGGAACCAAGCCAAATGTCCAACAGTGATAGACTGGATTAAGAAAATGTGGCACATATACACCATGGAATACTATGCATCCATAAAAAATGATGAGTTCATGTCCTTTGTAGGGACATGGATGAAGCTGGAAACCATCATTCTCAGCAAACCATCGCAAGGACAAAAAACCAAACACCGCGTGTTCTTACTCATAGGTGGGAATTGAACAATGAGAATACATGGACACAGGAAGGGGAACATCACACACCAGGGCCTGTTGTGGGGTGGGGGGAGGGGGGAGGGATAGCATTAGGAAATATACCTCATGTTAAATGACGAGTTGATGGGTGCAGCACACCAACATGGCACATGTATACATATGTAACTAACCTGCACGTTGTGCACATGTACCCTAAAACTTAAAGTATAATTAAAAAAAAAGAAAATCATAAATGTAAAGATTATTTCTGGACTCTCGAGTCTATTCTGCTGATCCATATGTCTATCCTTACACCAGTCCCACATAGTTTTGATTACTACATTACTTCATTCCTTCTTTTTCCTAAGTAATATTCCATTGTATGGATATACCACATCCATGAGTGGTGGACATTTGAGTTATTTCACTTTTTGGCTGTTATGAATAATGCCATGAACATTCATGTAAACATTGTTATGTAAACATATATTTTCATTTCTCTTAGGTGTATATCCTGTGAATTGGAATTGTTGAGTCATATGCTAACTCTATGTTTAACCTTTTGAAGAACTGCCAAAGTGTTTTCCAAAGTGACTGCACCACTTTCCAATCTACCAGCAATAGATGAGGGTTCCAATTTCTCTGCATCCTCAACAACATTTGTCAGTTTTTAAGATTATAGCCATCCTAGTGGGAATGAAATGGTATCTCATTGTGGTTTTTATTTGCATGTTCCTGAAGACTAATGATGTTGAGCAACTTTTCATGTGCTTACCAACCACGTTCATCTTTTCTTTAGAGAAATGTCTATTCAAATCTTTTGCCTTAAAAAAATTAAGTTGTTTATTGTTCAGTTCTAAGAACTCTTTATTTTTACTGGATACAAGTTCCATATACATATATATATATATATATATATTTTTTTTTTACTGGATACAAGTTCCATATATATATATATATATAGCAGGTATAAGGAAAATATTTTTTATATATATAAAATATATATATATACACCTAGTTTGCAAATATTTTCTATTATGTTGTGCATTTTCTTTTTTCTTTATTGATGTTGTCCTTTGAAGCACAAAAGTTTTAAATTTTGCTGAATTCCAGTTTTTCTATATATTCTTTTCACTTGTGTATTTGGTGGCATATCTAAAAAACCACTATCCAATCCAAGTCAGAAAAACTTATATGTTTTCTTCTACAAGTTTTATAATTTTATTTCTTACATTTGGGTTGATGGTCCCTTTTGAGTTTTGTATATGGTGTGAGGTAGGGGTCCAACTTGATTATTTTGCATATAGATATCTAGTTGTCCCAGCATATTTGTTGAAAAGACTATTCTTTCCCCATTGAATTATCTTGGTAACTTGTCAAAAATCATAAATATATGGGTTTATTTCAGGTCTCAATTTCTACTGATCTCTATATATACACTTATGCCAGTAACACATGGTCTTACTGCATCTGTGTAATAAGCTTTGAAATCAGGAATTTTGTCTTGCAACTTTTTCTGGTCAAGGTCATTTTGGCTAGTGTGGGTCTCTTGCATTTCACATGAATTTTAGGATTGGCTTGTGAATTTCTGCAAAAAAAGCAGGCTGGAATTTTGATAAGGATTGCATTGAATATGTAGATCAATATGGGGAGTACTGCCATCTAAACAATAGTAAGTCTTCTTGTAATACATAAACACGGTATATCACCTTTGTCTCAACATACATGTTTTAAAATTATATCTTCATATAAGTTACCTTTTAATCATGGCTGTACTTAACAACTGGCATATAAAATTCTTGAAAATTTACAAATTAACTCTCAGCAACAAGCCAGCTCCAGCACACCACTGCCTCTTATTGTTTTTGTATTTTCAGTATACTTGGCCAGAGAGAAAAAGGCTAGGTGAACCAGGGTGGAGTTTTTAGGTGGGATTCACAGCAGAAACTCAGCCTCCAAAAGGGCTGAGAGTAGGAACCATGGCCATAGGTCATCAAGGTCACGTGGCTGATGTGGATAGAAGAGATGGGCTGGGCAGCAGCAGCACTAAGAATCACAACTTTAGCTAAGGAGGGAAGTTAGCATGACAAGTGGCAAAGCCAGCAGCCACTAAGAATGAATATCCTTCAGGGTTTGGCATCTTGTGTAGCAAGAACTGCTGGTCTGGAAAGGACCTAGTTTCTAGATGGACAGAGAATTACATGCAGGTGTTCTGACAACAAAATGATGCCCATCCAGGAATAGCCTTGGCATTTTCTAAATCATGGCAGAGGCAGGAAAATAAAGGATTTAATATCTACCTTGCATTTTCAAGGTCACTGAAAACTGCAAATGGGCAAAATCAATATCTTCCTATCAAGATTGAGGTGATGGTTAAGCTGGCCATGGTGGCACATGCCTGTACTACTCAGCTCCCTGGAAGGCTTGAGCCCAGGAGTTTAAGGCTGCAGTGAGCTATGGTGGTGCCAACTGCACTCCTCCAGCTTGGGTGACAGAGTGAGACCCCGTCTCTAAGAAAACAAACATCACCAACACCACCACCAAAAAGCCTCAAAAACTGTTCTGAGGATTAAATAAAGGGGTCAAGAAGAGGAAAGTATTAAGTAACAGTTTCCTTTCATTTTGGATATGCCATTTTCAGCCACTGCCAACTGCCATCATTCATTTAAATCATTTATGAGAATGAATTAGCTTCTTTCAGCAACTTAAAGTCTACCCTCACCCTCACTGTTCATCTCAGACCTGCATCTGTAACACCACATTTCCTATCACACTCTCAGACCCCTGGGGAGGAAGAGATGCACCATCTTTCTCCTCTGACCTTCTCTTCTTTGTCTTTTATTTCCTTAGGGATCCAAACTATTGAGGTGGCCTATACTTCTGATTCACTGGTAGATTTTTTTTTCCCACTTGTATTGATTCCAACTACAAGTCCTGGAGCCTGATTCTGATTTCTGGGCTGGAAGCTGATCCCCGAGTATGAATATAAAATCTGATCAAAATAGATCCCTTTTTGTCCCTCATGAAACCTATCTATAAATACCAACTTTAATCCCACACTTTGCAGAAGCCTCTAGTCTAATGCTTCCCAGCTTCAGGTCCTACAGTCCTTGCATCTAAAGAGGAAGGTCTCTTTGTTGACTTAATTGTGCCATGTGCAAGGTGAAGCATAATGAAATCCTTTACAATTGCTCCTTGTCCTTCATAAAATTGAGTATTGCTCTTTTTTCTTCCCAAAGCTACCATTACAGAAAATGTAGTACTTCATTATCCACTGCATTAATCAATAATGATTTAATGCATGAACTAGTTGTTGCAGGTGAGTAGGAGCTATATGGGCCAGTGGTGTTGGGGTAAGAAGAATTTATCAAGTCAGTTGTAGGTAAAGAAAAGCAGACTTATTAGAGAAAGTATAAAAATGTGTTGCAAGAGTGCAACATGCAGATTAGTAAGAGAGAAGCTGAATGCAAGGAGACAAAGGCTTGCTAGGGATTTTATAGGGTGGTGCTGGTGCTGTGTGCTGATAACAACAAGGTTGCATCTAGCTAACTTGCATTTTTCTATCAGCCGAGGGTCTGGTGATAGCTGGGCACAGGAAAATTGTGAGTTATTTGTGCAGGAGGGCTATGCTGTCCTGGACCAGGAAGAAAGGCAGATCTATAGCTTATCTGCTTTCTCTTTCTGCTTTCCCTTGGTCCTGCCAGGCTGACTCCTTTTCTCTAATTGAGACTCCACATTTCCCCGTCCCAACCCCCTGACAGAGCAACAATGACAAATCTTTGGCATGTGGGTGATTGTCTTTCAGCTGATTCCTGCTGACCAGAGGTGTAGAGTTGGCCTTACCTAGGATTGTTGTTAGTTAGGAGGTTACATGGGCCTAAATCCCTAAGTTGGGAGTTAATTTGGGCAGGGTGGCTATGGGACCATGGGGGAAGAGCCTTTGCAGCCTAAAATTTTGTCCTGCTGCATCCAAAGGAGAGTCATGAAGTTCTCTCAGTGGCTGATACCCTTGCTACAGTAACATTTTGGTTTGAAATTGTTTTATCCTAGAAGACACAAAATGAGATATTGCATTAACAATACATGGAGCAAATAAACAAACTAACATGAGCATTATGATAGGTGGGAGAAGTGGGGCAACCCATGGCCAAACCCAGCTGGAGAAGCTTTGAAATAGTTGTGTCAAAAAGGAATTTTGAAGAACTCCTTTTTGAAGGCCCTCTAAAATCTTGATGTTCTTTTTGATCTTTTTAAAACTTTCTTCTACCTGACCTGAGGTACTGATGGAAAAGCAACAAGTTTCATTTAATAGTATACAGGTGCCCCCTATCTCAGTAGTAAGCACATTCAAAGTGGGTTGGTTCTGCAAGACAACCCCTGCCAACGAATTTAGGGCCTGTTGTTGGGCCTTGATGCTATGACTGTAGCTTCCCAAGACTGCTGTACTAGAATGGTGAGATAATGAATACAGCACTTAAGCATGGGTATACCTGCCAACCAAAAAATTGCATGGGCTACAGAATTTCTTAGACCATTCCTCTCTATGGTGGGATTGTCAGTGGTAAGCACACCAAATGATAGGATGTTGATTAAGTTACATTTCTGTTTCCTTTCTCCTGATGGCCTTTGGAGGGCCCAACTTATGAAGGATCCTAAATTTGGAACTTGGCCAGAGGATATGAAGTCTGAATAGTTATATATTTGAACCCCAGGTATTGCTGCAACTATAATGCAAGTACCTCTCCATTTAATAGGCAAGTTTAGAAACATTTTGAATTTGCATAAAAAGAAGAACCCAGTTTCTTTTAATAAAACTCCTGAGGAGGGACCTTGTAACCAGGCATAGATGTGGTTAGTTTCGGTTCCAGTATAATTTGCATAGAGGGATCCCATGGTCCCCAAGGATCAAATGTGGATGGGTGGTGACCCAAAAAGTAGTCATCCATGCATAAGGGGGTGTGATATGGTTTCACTCTGTGTTCCCACCCAAATCTCATGGCGAATTGTAATCCCCAGTGTTAGAGGAGGGGCCTGGTGGGAGATGATGGAATCATGGAAGTGACTTCTCCCTTGCGGTTCATGTGATACTCAGTGAGTTCTCAAGAACTCTAGTTGCTTAAAAGTGTGTGGCACTTCCCCCTTCTCTCTCTTACTCCTACCAGGCATATAAGACGTGCCTGATTCCCCTTTGCATTCCATCTTCTGCCATGATTGTAAGTTTCCCGAGGCATCCCCAGCCATGCGTCCTGTACAGCCCGTGGAACTGTGAATCAATTAAACCTCTTCTTTGTAAATTACCCAGTCTCAGGTAGTTATTTATAGTAATGCAAGAATGGACTAATACAGGGGATAAAAGTTTGGCTTGTTGTGTTATGTGAGTGTGGGGCCTGACAGATAAGGTTTTTAAATATCAATGAGATAAGAGAAAATCAAGAAAAAGCTGTAGACATATTAGTGAGGTTGAGAAGTTGTCCAGTCTCGACCCCTATTCCCATATATTCCATCCCAGTTGCTGAACTGTTTATTGGCATAAAGGAATCATTATAAATTTTGCTGGCATTATCTTTTTCTTTCCCCATCATAAGGAAAAACTGCGGGGATGCACATTGAACTCATCAGAGTCTAATTATATGGCTCCCGTTCCCAGTTTGTTTGATTATAATTGAGGGTAGAATTGCAATAGGCTTGTGTTAAAATGCCTAGAAAAGGGCCGGATCCCTCAGATTTTCTGATGCAGAGGTGAACCTTACAGGCCATCTCTGGTGCCTTCCCAATCTGCTCTGTCACGGTGGATGACTGCCACGAGGGATCAATTGGCCTAGGTTCCCCTACTAAACCTGTGTTTTTGGTGTGCGTGTAAATGGTGTAGTTGAATCCAGAGTATCTGGCTTGTTAATAATTTCTTCTGTAGATAGCGGAACTGCTAGGAGTATAATGTTATCCTCGAGTGTCTGTCTGTGTGGGCATATCCAGCAGTTAGTGCTGTGCGTTATGTCAGCAACCTGACATTACTGGGAGGAGTAAGTGCCTGGCTCCAGCCATAGAGGCAACAGTTAGCCGTGGTAGAATAAAAACAGAGCCACATTTAAAGAAAATGACAATATATAGTAAACTCAGGGAGATACGAGAGAAGAAGGGCTAACACCTAGTACCTCAGCACATTGATGTTGTGGTGTGGGAGTAAATGACATTACTAGGATAAATATAAAAAAATTTCATCTGGGTGGTAGTCTTGGAGGTTCCCCTGAAAATATCAATTGTATACTACCTCTCTTATAAAAGCATCAGTATTAAGAGGGTGAAGTTGCTCGAGAGAGACAGGTAAATAATTACTGAGAGCCTGTAGTATTAGCTTGGTGCAAAAGTAACTGCAGCTTTTGCCATTAATTTTAATAGAATTGAATAAAAATAATCAGCTTGAAGAATAAGGTCTAAAAGAAGTATTGGATTTATTTTTATTAACTTTAAGTAAGGTTAAAAAATTCTAAGTTCTTTGGTTTAACAAAACCTCTTTTACCTTTTTTTTAACTTTAAATGAGTTTTTAATGTTTATATTCTAGTTTGACCATAAATAATGTCTTATCTCAGTACCAGCCGCTTAGTAACAGCAGATTTAAAGCAGGGAGAGAAAAAGAGAGGAAGATAGAGAGCTTTAAAAGAGTCTACTTAAGTCTATGGCATAGGTTAACCATTTGAGCTCTGAATTTTTCTTGTAATTTGCCTATCAGTTTAAAATGTACACAAAAATGAGCCATAATATGTAATCAGCTATAGTTTCAAAGGGAACAACAAAATTAGAAGATAGGATGTTCGAAACCGTTTTTTCTTTTCTTTTCTTTTTTTTTTTTTAAATACAGAGATGGGGTTTCACTATGTTGCCCAGGCTGGTCTCAAATTCCTGGGCTCAAGCGATCCACCTACCTTGGCCTCCCAAAGTGCTAGGATTACAGGGATGAGCCAACATGCCCGGCCTGTTTTTCCCTTTAAGTCTGAGCTCCTGGATTGAACAGAAAAAGAGAAAAAGAAAAGAAAGGAATGCAGAGGAAAAGATTAAGCTTTATAGGAGGGCTTGTGAGCCTTTCAGCCACTGCATGATGTGGGGCCAGCACCCCTGCCATCCTTGTTTATCTCGTGTCACAGAGAACCTTAGCACCCCAGACCTACACAGTGTGGAACAAATTCCTTCCACCCCTGCAAGTCACTAGTTAAGGTGAGCTGTTTACAGGGGGAGTAGAGAGCCCCTTCAGCTCAAGGCCATCAGGTGTTGGCATTTTGTCCTGGGGGCCCTTTGGCTCTCATGACAGTCCTATTTCTAGTGGTCAAGCTTGTGGCAGAGGGGCAAGCCATGCAGGGCTTTTTCCATTTCTTTTATTGGGGCAGTTTGCTTTTCAGTGGCCTGGCCTTCTGTACCGATGGCAGTAACCTGGAAGAGTGTTCTTAGGGAAACCTGGAAGGGGCTGGTGCTTGTAAAGCAGCCAACAGTTGAGTCTGTGTTTTGCCTCTGCATTTGTTTTTTTCTTTCTAACCCTGTTCTACTCTTGGTTATAAAAGACTGAGGAGGCTAATTAGAGGATTTTCTGCATAGGAGCCATGCTGTAGTACACAAGAAAAATAGACATTTCTTTTTGAGAGTCTCAGGGTTAAATTTCTCTTAATGTTTTAGGACGCAACCCAGAGGTGAATCTGAAGAAATAGACGGGGTTTGTCTCATGGTAGGACTGGAAAATGAGCCTCTCGTGAGCCTGTCGGGGCTAACTGAACCGCACTTCCACGTGGGGCATCCCGTCAATGAAAAGGGTTCCACTCAGGTCTGCTGAGGGACTCAAGTGCACTTTCTAACGGGGTGTCTCACCTATTAGGAAAGACCTCTCAGTTGCCTGTGGGCCTTACACTGGGTGATCAGCCCACCTATGGGGAAAAAGGGTAAAGGAAGAGGTCTGTCTGGTGCCCGCCCAGGAGATGGGGGTGGGTAAAGGAAGACTCACTGTTCTGAGGCTGTTTGAGACCACTTGATTTAGCAATGCCCAGAACAGTTTGGCTCCACAGGAGAATCCAGAGTGAGAAGGAGAGGGTCTAAGTCACCTAAAACATGTATGAATTTGCCCTTAAGGAGCTTCCACTGTCAGTCATGTCACAGGTAGGGATTAGGGACTTTTTACTAGAAAAGAAAGGGGAGAGTCTTTTTCCCTTTTAGGCAAGGCAGCCAGCCCTGTTCACCCTTTGGCTTCAGGCAACACTGGAGAGTGGCCCTGGCCAGTTATCATTAATTTCCAGAGGGATAATAGAAGCCAGCTGCTGGGAGACTGAAAAGAGAAAATAAACTCAGGTCCCTCACCTGAAAGGGCAGTGGTGGTCAGACACTTCCACACAGATGCCTTTCAGTCCCACCAGAGTGTAGCTCTAGCCAGGGACCTACAGCTGTCTCTGTGTTTAGACACTGTCCACTGAGGATTGCAAGTTGGGAAAGAGGAAGAGAGAGAGGAGAGGGTTCCCCATAAAGAGAGTTCCCCATATGGGCCACCAAAATGTCACGGATGATTAGCGACTATCTGGGGCCAGTGGCATGGGGTTAAGAATTTACCAAGACAACTGTAGGTAAAGAAAAGCAGACATGTTAGAGAAAGTATGAAAATATGTTGTAAGGGTGCAACAGGCAGATTAGCAAGAGAGGAGCTGACAGCAAGGAAACAAAGCCTTGCTGGGGATTTTACAGGATGGTACTTCTGTGTGCTGAAGAGGGCTTTGTGCAGTACTGACAATGCCAAGATTGCAGTGAGCTAACTTGAATTTTTCTATTAGTAGAGAGTCTGGTGATAGCTGGGCACGGGAAGATTGTGAGTTATTTGCGCAGGAGGGCTATGTGTCCTGGACCATGAAGAAAGGCAGACTTATAGCTTATCTGATTTCTCTTTCTGCTTTCCTTTGGTCCTGCCAGCTTGACTCCGTTTCCCTAATTAGGACTCCACACCAGTTGTTTTCACTTTAGATTAGAAGTTCCTTGAAAACAGAGAGGAGGCCCCTAAGGGGTGAAGGGTAAACTATTCAGGGCTCATTGTATTCACTATTCTGCCTCCATGGAGCTCTGCACCGAGCAGGGGCTGGATCAATAACTCTAATTGCCTAAGTGTGGATAGAGGAGTCTGGCCTGTTGGAACTGGTCTGCACTAACAAATGAATCCAGGTCCTTAGGTCAGTAGTTCATGTGACTTGTCTGGACATCAACATTCTTCAGGAGAGGCATCTCCCTGGCCTCCTGCCACCATAGTCCTTTTATGCACCCATCCTTCCCGCCCAGCAGCTGCCTTGGTCTTTCCTAATAGGTGAGACACCCCGTTAGAAAGTGCACCTGAGTGCCTCAGCAGAGCTGAGTGGAACCCTTTTCATTGACGGGATGCCCCACGTGGAAGTGCGGTTCAGTTAGCCCCGACAGGCTCACAAGAGGCTCATTTTCCAGTCCCACCGTGATTGAGGTGATAACTTTAAAGCAGTAATAATATAGAAACCAAAAATGCTCACAGTCCAATCACCTTCCACAGAGGATGGTTCACAATGTAGAGGGAGAGTTCCAGATATCTTAACTGCATAGCCAATTCAAGGCTTGAAGAAAGGCAGACTTATAGCTTATCTGATTTCTCTTATTGCTTTTCCTTGGTACTGCCAGCTTGACTCCTTTTCCCTAATTAGGACTCCACACCAGTTGTTTTCATTTTAGATTAGAAGTTCCTTGAAAACAGGGAGCAGGCCATGGATGTGCTGCATCCCAAACAAGCACCCTTCTGTGACATGCTCCCATCCTCATCTCAGGAGACACTCCAAGGGTTGTCTGGGACAGTGAGAGCCCTTCAAGACCCCAAATTATGGTTGTCCAAATAGAGAACTTATTTATAAGATTGGTCAAGCTGATTATGGTGGATGAGAAAAAGCTTTCCTTATCTTTCAAACAACTCGTACCTAGTCACCCTCTCATGTTAAATGGAACCATGACTGTTGAGCTAGGCTGAGCCTAGGGACCCATGTGTATCCCCAAAGGCATTGTTACTATGAGGACAACATTGAGAGTGGGACCTTTCAGCTTTTGCTGCACAATGCCAAACAGCTGGCTGGACACTTCTGGTCCTTGAAGGACATAACCGTTTGGTTGTCATGGCAGCCCCACGCGGAGAAGGGTAATCCTCTGAGAGGGAAGGCCCACCGGAAATGGGCCCCATCACCATGGGAACCAAAGAGACTAGAACCTGCCATTTTGTCTCATGCAAGTAGCCCATCCTGCACTGTCCCGGGAAGCCCCACAGCCCGGATGGCCCTCAGGGGAGCCTCGCGGCCCTTCACCGTCGCGGGAAAAGCCAAGTTGGTGGCAGGAGGAGCCCACCACCAAGGCGATCTCACTGCGGAAAAACTCGACCCTCCGCCTTCACGTCTAGGGCGGCAGGTGGTAGAGCTGGGCCTCTCAGGCCCATGCCCGAGGGCAGGCGAGACAAGGAGCGCCCCCAAGTGGCCATGCGGTGTCCTCACGGAAGGCAGGGAGGGCGTCACGGGCCTTGGGGACCTTGACACAACCTGGAGCACGAGGCTGAGAAACCCACCACGCAGGCCAGCTGGAGGCTGCCGCCCAGCCGGGAGTCAGAAGCTGGAGCCACTGGGTGCTCCCGAAGCCATCTGGAGCACCTGAGGAACCTTGTGACTACAGTAGTCCCCATAGTCCCCACTGTCTTGTGGGCCTTGAGGACAATCAGAGGAGGAGGAGGGATCCGGTCTACACCATCAGAGTCGTGCTACTCAAGGCTGCTCTTCAATTTTTCCTATTCTCTGCCAGGAGCCACCTATCACACCACAAAAGTTTTCAATCACCATGTGGCAGTTTTTCTTTCCTGGCATTTTATCAAGAGTCTTCCTGCTTTTGTCTTTGTACTTTCAAGACAGTTTGTTATGTATCAGGTGCCATTTATCATCTTGCTTTGTGCTGTATAAAATATGTAATTCTGGCCAGGAGTGGTGGCTCACGCCTGTAATTTCAGCACTTTGGGAGGCCGAGGCGGGTGGATCACTTGAGGTCAATAGTTCGTGACCCGCCTGGCCAACATGGCGAAACCCCATCTCTACTAAAAATACAAAAATCAACCGGGTGTGGTGCCATACGCCTGTAATCCCAGCTACTCGAGAGGCTGAGGCAGGACAGTCACTTGAACCCGGGAGGCGGAAGTTGCAGTGAGCCGAGATTGTGCCACTGCACTCCAGCCTGGGGCACAGAGTGAGACTCTGTCTCAAAGTAAATAAATAAATAAATACACAAAATGTGTAATTCTTCCAGCATTTAAATTACATATATATAAACATAAAATTTAAATTACATCTGCACAAACATGCCCTGACATTTAAATTATATATATGCACACACACACATATATCTGTAAACCACCAGATAAAAATAAAAATGATTGCTTCTGTTTCAATAAAACTTTTTTTCTGCCTGTTAAATTAGAACGGGTGGCAGGTGAGGTAATTTTATTTGAACTATGTCTGCAGCCATTTAAGCCTAGTTAGAACTCTGTCATAATAAGGTAACTGATTTTGATCTCCATCTCTTAAAAAGGAGGGAGCTCAGCCCACTAGAAGAAATGTTGAAAACAAGACTCTGCTTGATAGAATTTTGGGAACCTCTCCATTGAGAAGTGTCAACAATGATGCTGTTTATCAGATTCTAGAAAGTGAGCAACCAAAGAAACATGCCAGAAAGTCTTTCTGCCTTGTATAAATTTGTACAACAAGCATTGCAGACCTGAAGTACTTTGCCCAATTGCTGTGGAGAGCAGCTACAAGTATGCTTAACATTAAGTGAATGTTTCAGTCACTGAGTACAAACTGGCATCAAAAGGTAATTTGGTAATTTAGATAGTTCCTCTGTCTGGACATGGGGACGATGTATGATGCCTCCAGAGGAGAACCAGGGAAACCCATCCGCTTTATGGTGCAGACTGGGAAGTGGGGATGTAAGGAAGCCAGAAAATAGGTTTAAAAAATTGACCATTCTGATGGGACTGAGTTGATAAAATATGGCAACCTGTATTTGTGATCTACATTTTGTATGTGTTTTCTTGTATTTTGTTATTTTGTTTATGTTCTCTCTCCCTTAACACCTAGTGAAATTATGTTTCACCTGAAAATGTCAGGTTGACCAACAGGAAATCCTTGAGCCTCCTCACCTTCTCAGGCCTACCTCTGGCACCCTATAGATGTCCCAGACTTGTCTTTGCTACTACTTTCTGTGATGTTGACAATCTTTTCCCTTCTTGTCTTCAACCCACTTCTCATTATCATTCTATCTTTTTCTTACCCTCCCTTATATCTGTTCAATTTTGTTCAACTGTGCATCTTCACACATATGCACTCTATAGGCTATGCTCTTTTAAAAGTAATAATGAAAATCCTCTTTGTATCTCTGAAAAGCTATCATTTCATTGACAAAAATGAACAGTAAGTGGACTTTAATTTTTTCTGATAAAACTGAAACTCTTACATTCCACTATTTTCTCCACTTATACTTTGAGTATCACAAAGAAACTTTCTGAACACATAGAGATAACAGTTTTTATGAATAGTTTTCCTCAATTGAACATTTTAATCTCTTTTTTCTCTTGAGACTTCCTCTTTGACCCACCCATGTGTTTAAAAGTGTGTTGTTTAATCTCCAAATATTTTGAGATTTTCTGACTTTTCATTATTGAGTTCTAGTTTAATTGTATTATAGTCTGACAGCATACTTTGTATAATTCCTATTCCATTAAATTTGTGAGCTGTCTTTTATGGCCCAGAATACACTCTACATTGGCAAATGTCTGTGTGAGCTTGAGAAGAATGTGTATTCTGCTGTTGTTGGATGCAATATTCTGTAAATGTCAATTAGCAATGGTTGATTAATGGTGCTGTTCAGCTCAACTAAGTCCTTACTGATTTTCTATCTGCTGGATCTGTCAATTACAGATAAAGGGGTATTGAATTCGCCAACATAAGAGTGGATTTGTTTATTTCTCCTTGCAGTTCTATCAGTTTTTACTTCACATATTTTGATGTTTTGTTGTTACCTTCATACACATTAGGAATTGTTATGTCTTCTTGGAAAACCAACATCTTTATCATTAAATAAATAATATTCCTCTTTATCCCTAATAATTTTCCTTGCTCTTAAATCTGCTTTGCCTGAAATTAATACAGTGACTCCAGCTTGGTTTTGATTAGTGTTAGCATGGCATATCTTTCTCCATCCCTTTACTTTTTTATTTTTTTATTTTTATTATTTATTTTTTATTTTTTGAGATGGAGTCTCGCTCTGTTGCCCAGGCTGGAGTGCAGTGGCGCACTCTCGGCTCACTGTAACTTCTGCCTCCCGGGTTCAAGAGATTCTCCTGCCTCAGCCTCCTGAGTAGCTGGGACTACAGGCGCATGGCACCACATCTGGCTAATTTTTGTATTTTTAGTAGAGACAGGGTTTTGCCATGTTGGCTAGGTTGGTCTCAAATTCCTGACCTCAGGTGATCTGCCTGCCTCAGCCTCCCAAAGTGCTGAAATTACAGGTGTGAGCCACCACACCCAGCCAATTTCTTTACTTTTAATCTATGTCCTTATAGTTAAAGTCAGTTTCTTGTAAAAAACATAGTTGGGTCTTGGTTTTTCATTCACTGACACTGTCTTTTTTTTTTTTTGAGATGGAGTCTCACTGTGTCTCCCAGGCTAGAGTGCAGTGGTGCAATCTTGGCTCACTGCAACCTCCGCCTCCCAGGTTCATGCGATTCTCCTATCTCAGCCTCCTGAGTAGCTGGGATTACAGGCGCACACCACCACACCAGCTAATTTTTGTATTTTTGGTAGAGATGGGGTTTTGCCATATTGGCCAGGCTAGTCTCGAACTCCTGACCTCAGGTGATCCACCCAACTCAGGCTCACAAAGTGCTGGGATTACAGGTGTAAGTCACCACGCCTGACCTACTGTCTGTCTTTTAATTGGTATATTTAGACCACTGATGTTTAAAGTGATTTTTTATATAATTGGACCAGTATCTACCATATCTGTTACTGTTTTCTATTTTGCCCTTCTTGTATGTTTTTTTTTTTTTTTTAATTTTTTTTTTTATTATACTCTAAGTTTTAGGGTACATGTGCACATTGTGCAGGTTAGTTACATATGTATACATGTGCCATGCTGGTGCGCTGCACCCACTAACGTGTCATCTAGCATTAGGTATATCTCCCAATGCTATCCCTCCCCCCTCCCCCGACCCCACCACAGTCCCCAGAGTGTGATATTCCCCTTCCTGTGTCCATGTGATCTCATTGTTCAATTCCCACCTATGAGTGAGAATATGCGGTGTTTGGTTTTTTGTTCTTGCGATAGTTTACTGAGAATGATGGTTTCCAATTTCATCCATGTCCCTACAAAGGACATGAACTCATCATTTTTTATGGCTGCATAGTATTCCATGGTGTATATGTGCCACATTTTCTTAATCCAGTCTATCATTGTTGGACATTTGGGTTGGTTCCAAGTCTTTGCTATTGTGAATAGTGCCGCAATAAACATACGTGTGCATGTGTCTTTATAGCAGCATGATTTATAGTCCTTTGGGTATATACCCAGTAATGGGATGGCTGGGTCAAATGGTATTTCTAGTTCTAGATCCCTGAGGAATCGCCACACTGACTTCCACAATGGTTGAACTAGTTTACAGTCCCACCAACAGTGTAAAAGTGTTCCTATTTCTCCACATCCTCTCCAGCACCTGTTGTTTCCTGACTTTTTAATGATTGCCATTCTAACTGGTGTGAGATGATATCTCATAGTGGTTTTGATTTGCATTTCTCTGATGGCCAGTGATGATGAGCATTTCTTCATGTATTTTTCGGCTGCATAAATGTCTTCTTTTGAGAAGTGTCTGTTCATGTCCTTCACCCACTTTTTGATGGGGTTGTTTGTTTTTTTCTTGTAAATTTGTTTGAGTTCATTGTAGATTCTGGATATTAGCCCTTTGTCAGATGAGTAGGTTGCAAAAATTTTCTCCCATGTTGTAGGTGGCCTGTTCACTCTGATGGTAGTTTCTTTTGCTGTGCAGAAGCTCTTTAGTTTAATTAGATCCCATTTGTCAATTTTGGCTTTTGTTGCCATTGCTTTTGGTGTTTTGGACATGAAGTCCTTGCCCACGCCTATGTCCTGAATGGTAATGCCTAGGTTTTCTTCTAGGGTTTTTATGGTTTTAGGTCTAACGTTTAAATCTTTAATCCATCTTGAATTGATTTTTGTATAAGGTGTAAGGAAGGGATCCAGTTTCAGCTTTCTACATATGGCTAGCCAGTTTTCCCAGCACCATTTATTAAATAGTGAATCCTTTCCCCATTGCTTGTTTTTCTCAGGTTTGTCAAAGATCAGATAGTTGTAGATATGCGGCATTATTTCTGAGGGCTCTGTTCTGTTCCATTGATCTATATCTCTGTTTTGGTACCAGTACCATGCTGTTTTGGTTACTGTAGCCTTGTAGTATAGTTTGAAGTCAGGTAGCGTGATGCCTCCAGCTTTGTTCTTTTGGCTTAGGATTGACTTGGCGATGCGGGCTCTTTTTTGGTTCCATATGAACTTTAAAGTAGTTTTTTCCAATTCTGTGAAGAAAGTCATTGGTAGCTTGATGGGGATGGCATTGAATCTGTAAATTACCTTGGGCAGTATGGCCATTTTCACGATATTGATTCTTCCTACCCATGAGCATGGAATGTTCTTCCATTTGTTTGTGTCCTCTTTTATTTCCTTGAGCAGTGGTTTGTAGTTCTCCTTGAAGAGGTCCTTCACATCCCTTGTAAGTTGGATTCCTAGGTATTTTATTCTCTTTGAAGCTATTGTGAATGGGAGTTCACTCATGATTTGGCTCTCTGTTTGTCTGTTGTTGGTGTATAAGAATGCTTGTGATTTTTGTACATTGATTTTGTATCCTGAGACTTTGCTGAAGTTGCTTATCAGCTTAAGGAGATTTTGGGCTGAGACGATGGGGTTTTCTAGATAAACAATCATGTCGTCTGCAAACAGGGACAATTTGACTTCCTCTTTTCCTAATTGAATACCCTTTATTTCCTTCTCCTGCCTGATTGCCCTGGCCAGAACTTCCAACACTATGTTGAATAGGAGCGGTGAGAGAGGGCATCCCTGTCTTGTGCCAGTTTTCAAAGGGAATGCTTCCAGTTTTTGCCCATTCAGTATGATATTGGCTGTGGGTTTGTCATAGATAGCTCTTATTATTTTGAAATACGTCCCATCAATACCTAATTTATTGAGAGTTTTTAGCATGAAGGGTTGTTGAATATTGTCAAAGGCTTTTTCTGCATCTATTGAGATAATCATGTGGTTTTTGTCTTTGGCTCTGTTTATATGCTGGATTACATTTATTGATTTGCGTATATTGAACCAGCCTTGCATCCCAGGGATGAAGCCCACTTGATCATGGTGGATAAGCTTTTTGATGTGCTGCTGGATTCGGTTTGCCAGTATTTTATTGAGGATTTTTGTATCAATGTTCATCAAGGATATTGGTCTAAAATTCTCTTTTTTGGTTGTGTCTCTGCCCGGCTTTGGTATCAGAATGATGCTGGCCTCATAAAATGAGTTAGGGAGGATTCCCTCTTTTTCTATTGATTGGAATAGTTTCAGAAGGAATGGTACCAGTTCCTCCTTGTACCTCTGGTAGAATTCGGCTGTGAGTCCATCTGGTCCTGGACTCTTTTTGGTTGGTAAACTATTGATTATTGCCACAATTTCAGAGCCTGTTATTGGTCTATTCAGAGATTCAACTTCTTCCTGGTTTAGTCTTGGGAGAGTGTATGTGTCGAGGAATGTATCCATTTCTTCTAGATTTTCTAGTTTATTTGCGTAGAGGTGTTTGTAGTATTCTCTGATGGTAGTTTGTATTTCTGTGGGATCGGTGGTGATATCCCCTTTATCGTTTTTTATTGTGTCTATTTGATTCTTCTCTCTTTTTTTCTTTATTAGTCTTGCTAGCGGTCTATCAATTTTGTTGATCCTTTCAAAAAACCAGCTCCTGGATTCATTGATTTTTTGAAGGGTTTTTTGTGTCTCTATTTCCTTCAGTTCTTCTCTGATTTTAGTTATTTCTTGCCTTCTGCTAGCTTTTGAATGTGTTTGCTCTTGCTTTTCTAGTTCTTTTAATTGTGATGTTAGGGTGTCAATTTTGGATCTTTCCTGCTTTCTCTTGTAGGCATTTAGTGCTATAAATTTCCCTCTACACACTGCTTTGAATGCGTCCCAGAGATTCTGGTATGTGGTGTCTTTGTTCTCATTGGTTTCAAAGAACATCTTTATTTCTGCCTTCATTTCGTTATGTACCCAGTAGTCATTCAGGAGCAGGTTGTTCAGTTTCCATGTAGTTGAGCGGCTTTGAGTGAGATTCTTAATCCTGAGTTCTAGTTTGATTGCACTGTGGTCTGAGAGATAGTTTGTTATAATTTCTGTTCTTTTACATTTGCTGAGGAGAGCTTTACTTCCAACTATGTGGTCAATTTTGGAATAGGTGTGGTGTGGTGCTGAAAAAAATGTATATTCTTTTGATTTGGGGTGGAGAGTTCTGTAGATGTCTATTAGGTCCGCTTGGTGCAGAGCTGAGTTCAATTCCTGGGTATCCTTGTTGACTTTCTGTCTCGTTGATCTGTCTAATGTTGACAGTGGGGTGTTAAAGTCTCCCATTATTAATGTGTGGGAGTCTAAGTCTCTTTGTAGGTCACTCAGGACTTGCTTTATGAATCTGGGTGCTCCTGTATTGGGGGCATAAATATTTAGGATAGTTAGCTCCTCTTGTTGAATTGATCCCTTTACCATTATGTAATGGCCTTCTTTGTCTCTTTTGATCTTTGTTGGTTTAAAGTCTGTTTTATCAGAGACTAGGATTGCAACCCCTGCCTTTTTTTGTTTTCCATTGGCTTGGTAGATCTTCCTCCATCCTTTTATTTTGAGCCTATGTGTGTCTCTGCACATGAGATGGGTTTCCTGAATACAGCACACTGATGGGTCTTGACTCTTTATCCAACTTGCCAGTCTGTGTCTTTTAATTGCAGAATTTAGTCCATTTATATTTAAAGTTAATATTGTTATGTGTGAATTTGATCCTGTCATTATGATGTTAGCTGGTGATTTTGCTCATTAGTTGATGCAGTTTCTTCCTAGTCTCGATGGTCTTTACATTTTGGCATGATTGTGCAGCGGCTGGTACCGGTTGTTCCTTTCCATGTTTAGCGCTTCCTTCAGGAGCTCTTTTAGGGCAGGCCTGGTGGTGACAAAATCTCTCAGCATTTGCTTGTCTATAAAGTATTTTATTTCTCCTTCACTTATGAAGCTTAGTTTGGCTGGATATGAAATTCTGGGTTGAAAATTCTTTTCTTTAAGAATGTTGAATATTGGCCCCCACTCTCTTCTGGCTTGTAGGGTTTCTGCCGAGAGATCCGCTGTTAGTCTGATGGGCTTTCCTTTGAGGGTAACCCGACCTTTCTCTCTGGCTGCCCTTAACATTTTTTCCTTCATTTCAACTTTGGTGAATCTGACAATTATGTGTCTTGGAGTTGCTCTTCTCGAGGAGTATCTTTGTGACGTTCTCTGTATTTCCTGAATCTGAACGTTGGCCTGCCTTGCTAGATTGGGGAAGTTCTCCTGGATAATATCCTGCAGAGTGTTTTCCAACTTGGTTCCATTCTCCCCATCACTTTCAGGTACACCAATCAGACGTAGATTTGGTCTTTTCACATAGTCCCATATTTCTTGGAGGCTTTGCTCATTTCTTTTTATTCTTTTTTCTCTAAACTTCCCTTCTCGCTTCATTTCATTCATTTCATCTTCCATTGCTGATACCCTTTCTTCCAGTTGATCGCATCGGCTCCTGAGGCTTCTGCATTCTTCACGTAGTTCTCGAGCCTTGGTTTTCAGCTCCATCAGCTCCTTTAAGCACTTCTCTGTATTGGTTATTCTAGTTATACATTCTTCTAAATTTTTTTCAAAGTTTTCAACTTCTTTGCCTTTGGTTTGAATGTCCTCCCGTAGCTCAGAGTAATTTGATCGTCTGAAGCCTTCTTCTCTCAGCTCGTCAAAATCATTCTCCATACAGCTTTGTTCTGTTGCTGGTGAGGAACTGCGTTCCTTTGGAGGAGGAGAGGCGCTCTGCGTTTTAGAGTTTCCAGTTTTTCTGTTCTGTTTTTTCCCCATCTTTGTGGTTTTATCTACTTTTGGTCTTTGATGATGGTGATGTACAGATGGGTTTTCGGTGTAGATGTCCTTTCTGGTTGTTAGTTTTCCTTCTAACAGACAGGACCCTCAGCTGCAGGTCTGTTGGAATACCCTGCCGTGTGAGGTGTCAGTGTGCCCCTGCTGGGGGGTGCCTCCCAGTTAGGCTGCTCGGGGGTCAGGGGTCAGGGACCCACTTGAGGAGGCAGTCTGCCCGTTCTCAGATCTCCAGCTGCGTGCTGGGAGAACCACTGCCCTCTTCAAAGCTGTCAGACAGGGACACTTAAGTCTGCAGAGGTTACTGCTGTCTTTTTGTTTGTCTGTGCCCTGCCCCCAGAGGTGGAACCTACAGAGGCAGGCAGGCCTCCTTGAGCTGTGGTGGGCTCCACCCAGTTCGAGCTTCCCGGCTGCTTTGTTTACCTAAGCAAGCCTGGGCAATGGCGGGCGCCCCTCCCCCAGCCTCGTTGCCGCCTTGCAGTTTGATCTCAGACTGCTGTGCTAGCAATCAGCGAGATTCCGTGGGCGTAGGACCCTCTGAGCCAGGTGTGGGATATAGTCTCGTGTTGCGCCATTTCTTAAGCCGGTCTGAAAAGCGCAATATTCGGGTGGGAGTGACCCGATTTTCCAGGTGCGTCCGTCACCCCTTTCTTTGACTCGGAAAGGGAACTCCCTGACCCCTTGCACTTCCCAGGTGAGGCAATGCCTCGCCCTGCTTCGGCTCGCGCACGGTATGCACACACACTGGCCTGCGCCCACTGTCTGGCACTCCCTAGTGAGATGAACCCGGTACCTCAGATGGAAATGCAGAAATCACCCATCTTCTGCGTCGCTCACGCTGGGAGCTGTAGACCGGAGCTGTTCCTATTCGGCCATCTTGGCTCCTCCCTTGTATGTTTTTTTTTGTCTGACACTGGTTTTTTGCCTTCTCTGTTTTTAATTGAGAATTTTATACAATTTTATTCTCTCTTTTAACATATTAATTATACTTTTAAAACTTTTAAAAGTGGTTGCCTTAGACTTTGCAATATACATTTACAACTACTCCAAGTCTGCTTTCAAATAATGTACTACTACTTCATGGGTAGTGCAAGTATCTTATAAGAGAGTATTTCCAATTCTTTCCTCACATCCTTTATAACATTGTTATAATTCATTTCATTTATTTATAAGCTATAATTACCAAATATAGCTGTTATTTTGAACAAATTGCTATCTGTTAGATCACTTAAGAATTAAAAAATAAATTTTATTTCTCTTCATTTATTCCTTCTCTAATGTTCTTCTTTTCTTTATGTAGATCTGAGTTTCTCATCTGTAATGTTTTCCTTCTTTCTGAAGAACTTCTTTTAACATTTCTTGCCAATCAGGTCTACTGGCAAAAATTTCCTCAAATTTTGTTTGTCTGAGAAAGGCGTTATTTCTCCTTCACATGGAATGATGATTTTGCTGGGTACAGAATTCTAGATTGTTGATTTTTTTCAACACCTTAAAAATTTCAATTAACTCTCTTCTTGCTTGCACAGTTTCTGAGGAGTGGTCCAGTTTAATTATTTTCCTTATTTCTCTATAGGTAAGGTGTTTTATTCCTCTGGCTTCTTTGAGGAATTTTTTGTCTTTGATTTTCTGCAGTTTGAATATGACATGCCTAGGTGTATATTTTTTTATATTTATCTTACTCGGGCTTTTCTGAGCTTACTGAATCTGTTGTTTTGTATCTGACATTAATTTGAGGAAATTCTGTCACTGTTACTTCAAATATTTATTCTGCTCCTTTCTCTTTTTTTTTCCTGGTATTTCCATTATATGTATGTTACACCTTTTGTAATTCTCCCACAGTTCTTGGATTTTCTTTTCTGACTTTTTCATTCTCTTTTTGTTCTTGGCATTTCCATTTTGGAAGTTTCTACTGACGTATCTTCAAGCACTGATTCTTTCCTTGGCATGTCCAGTCTATTGATGGGCCCATCAAAGCATTCTTCATTTCTGCTACATTGTTTTTCATTTCTGCTGTTTCATTTTGATCCTTAGAGTTTCCCTCTCTCTATTAGAGTACCCATTTGTTCTTGCATGTTGCCTACTTTTCCCATTAGAACCTGAAAACATATTGTAAGATTAATGGTAGCCGTAAAGACCGCTTAATCATGCCACAGGGATGGCACTATGTGTTACTCAGCAGTATGATGCAAACTGACCAGGGATTTCCAACCTGATATGGTGATTTCCAGAAGGCAAGGCCTAGAGCACAAGGGTACCTCTGTACAGATACAACTTTCAGAAGCCTTAAAACAAAACTTACCCTTACAAAAATAGCTTAAACCCCCTTTATGAAAGAATAATCTGGTAATTAACCTGGACTGAACACAGATATGAAAAAAGTGGGAAAGATTCCCTAAACTTTGAAAATGTTGTCTGGACAGAGACCCTCCCAGTCAATCAGTCATCTGACCCTCTGGTTTTATCTAACCCATGCCACTGGCCTGCTTCTGCTATCATCCTTGTAAGAGCTCTACCAGAACAAACTTCTTGAATAGCAGATGGTGTCTAGGGCTCATCATTGGTGCAGATTGAATGGAAGGGGAAACAGTATGCTTCGGAATAAATGGTATGCTTTGAATGGAGCTATTGCATCTTGGTCCCTTGGTAGAATGTGTGGCTGTGTTCAGGGTTGAGATATACAACCTTTATATCAGAATGCATGTCACTGATACATTGTGAATGCCCTGGAGCAATATTTAAGATCAGAAACATCTTGAATGGGATATTGTATTTCCTACAATAGTCTCTTGCCTGCAGAATGAAATAGTCAAAAATTAGTCTTCAAACAATGCAGATGTCACCCAGGCTTCCTTGTTATGATGACAATAATTAGGAAATGTCTGCTTGCTCACATTCTTGGATGCTCTAGAGTTATCTGAGTGTTAGGTTAGAAAAGACTTTAATTTGAACTCCTCAACATTTCCACTCAAAAGCAGAATGCAAAACGGTCTTTGAATGTGCTGAATCCTGGCATTGTCTTGGACTCTTCATAAATGTGTGTATGCTCTGACATATACTCCTAGAACAACCTCATTTCATCAACATTAAATATTGGTTCTGGAAAATATTTCTTGTCTATAATTATCCTGTGCAGCTCTTCCTTAAAAGCTTTAGCACCTTCAGTATTGGCACTTGCTGCCTCACCACTGGCCTCACATTATGAAAATTATGACACTTTTTGAAGCGTTGGAACTACCCATGACTTGCTGTAAACATTTGCATATATCTAGGATCATCTGCATATTCTTTTAATGTGTTGAAAAGACTTCTTGCCTTAGCCTGGATCATCAGTAGGTTAAATGGTATGTTCGTCTCTATCTGGTTTTCCATCCCGATGACAAATAATTTTTTTTCATATAATCAGTTAGCCCAGCTCTTTCCTTTGTGATGAGAGTGGATTTAACCAATATTGATAATTTCACTGCATTAGTTATTTGCTTCTTATCCTTTAAGATGGTTGAGATTGTCAATTGTGAAGGTTCTAACATGTGCAGTGGCCATTACTGGCTTAATGCCTTTATGCTGGGCAATTAAGTAAAATTTTACCTTAAAGAGTAATTGTGGCTGGGCATGGTGGCTCATTCCTGTAATCTCAGTGCTTTGGGAAGCCAAGGTGGGTAGGTCGCTTGAGTCTAGGAGTTCGAGACCAGCCTGGGCAACATGGTGAAACCCTGTCCCTACAAAAAAATTAGCTGGCATGGTGGCATGCACCTGTAGTCTCAGCTACTCTGAAGGTGAGATGGGAGGATCGCTTGTGCCTGGGAGGCAGAGATTGCAGTGAGCCATGATTGCGCCCACCGCACTCCAGCCCGGGCAACAGAGCTAGACCCTGCCTCAAAAAAAAAGGTAATTGCTTTCTTCTTCTTCTTCTTTCTTCTTCTTCTTCCGTCTTCTTCCTTCTTCCTCCTTCCTTCTTTCTTCTTCTTTTCTTCTTTCTTCTTCCTTCTCCTTATCCTTCTTCTTCTTTTTCTTCCTTCTTCTTCTTTCTTCTTCTTCCTCCTCTTCTTCTTCTTCGAAGCAGGAGACACAGATGGACATTTTGTATACATGATGGTTTACAAAAACACAAAATTATTTGCAACACAGTACACCTTAGAGTATCAGTTGTTTACCCTTGTGATCATGTGGCTGACCAGGAGCTGTGGTTTGCTGCCACTGCCCAGCACCAAGAAAGATTATTGTGTCTTATATTGCTAGCCCTGGAAAAGATCAAAACTCAAAATTCAAAATATAATTTCTACTGAATGCATATTGCTTACACACTATCATAAAGTCAAAAAATTATAAGTTGAACCATCCGTAGAATTCTCTGTGTACATTTCAGAATGACTACTTTCTCCTCCCCATGCCAGAAACATGGGGAGATTTTTTTTTAATTCTCATTGTGAGAACTTAGTAGGGATACTGAAGACAAAATGTACGATTGTGTGGGACCCCTTAAGACTTGACCTTTGAGAGGTCAAGTTTGTCCACACTGAAACTCCAGCAATTTATCCATTATAGTTTATGTTTTCCTACCCTGGTACTGGCTCCAGCAATGATTTCACTCCCAACTTGGGAAGCAGTGGTTAGCCCTGTGACCTCAATTATCTGATGGAGCTACAAAAAATGGTTAATTTTCAGTTTTTTCAGCTTTTTACTTGTTGTGAAAATGGGAATGACAACTTCCAACCTCCTTACAAGACAAACTGGCAACTTCAATCTGGGATTTTTATATACTAGAATTTACAACCAATAATAATTATTATTATAGTAATAATAGCAAATTAGTATTTGCCAGATATATAAATTCTTAAATGTATTAACTCAATTAATTCTCACAGCTACCTTGTGAGATTGGTATTATTGTTATTTACATTTGAGGATGAGAAAATTGGGACACAGAGAGGATATGTATTTACTAGAGTTTTGATTAGATCCTTTCAGATTTAGACAGAAGTGATTGACACTAAAAAACAGACACTGATATTTCATAATGGTGTTATATGCCAGGCATTGTTTTAGTTCTCTAAACATAATAACTCAATAAACTTCAACAATATTAAGAGGTAGTGACTTTTGATAAAAAGAAAACATGAGTCCATACATCCAAGTTGCTGAGCAAACTCCACGAAGGATAAACTCAAAGGGATACATACCAAGACATACTATAATAAACCTCTCAAAAGACAAAGACAGACAGAGAATCTTGAAAGCAGCAAGGAATAATTGACTCATGATGTACAAAGGATCCTTGATAAGTTTAACAGCCAATTTATCATCAGAAGCTAGGTCGGCCAAAAGACAGTAGATTACATATTTAAAGTGCTGAAATAAAAAAAAAAAAGCTGTCAACCAAAAATTCTATATGTGGCTAAATTCTACTGCAGAAATGAAGCAAAAATTAAGATATCCCTATTAAAGTTGAGAGAGTTCATCACTAGCCAACCTGCCCTACAAGAACTATTAAAAAGAGTTCTCCAGGATGAAAAGACGTAAGATTGGAGTTAGAAGGCATACAAAGAAATAAAGCTGGGCATGGTGGATCATGCCTATAATCTCAGTATTTTGAGAGGCTGAGGTGGGAGGATCACTTGAGCTCAGGAGTTCAAGACCAGCCTGGGCAACATAGGGAGACCCCATCTCTGCAAAAAATAGAAAAATTAACCAGGCATGGTAGCACATCCCTGTGGTCCCAGCTACTTTGGAGGCTAAAGTGGGAGGATTGCTTGAGCCTGTGAAGTTGAGGCTGCAGTAAGTCAAGATCATGCAATGCTACTGTAGTTCAGCCTGGGTGCAAGTCCTTGCCTAAAAAACAAACAAACAGACAGACAAAAAACCCAATGTAGTTACTTTTACCAGAGTAGTTCTTTCTTTCTTTTTTCTTTTCCTTAAAGAACTACTCTGGTAAAGGTAACTACATTGGTAAATACAAAAGCCACTATTATGTTTTTGCCTTGTAAATTTTCTTTTTGTTTCATATATAATTTAAAAGACAAATGCATAAAATTATTATAAATATGTGTTAATGGGAGACAATGTATAAAGATGTAATTTAGGAAGAGACAGCTGTATAGGAGCAGAGTTTTTGTATATTATTAAAGCTAACCTGATACAAATTTCAATTACAGTATTGAAATTTCTTCATAATGATAATAATTGTAATTATTTCTCAGTACCTGCACATTCTGTACCTGAGGATTTGACCAACCAAAGGTCAAAAATATTTGAAAAAAATCAACACAGATAATATGACTAGAAATCATATGGATTTGAAAAATAGTACAGCATAACCGCTATTCATATAACATTTACATTTTATTAGGCATTGTAAGTAATCTAGAGATGGTTTAAAGTATACAGGAAGATGTGTGTACATTATATGCAAATACTACACCATCTTATATATAGACTTGAGCATCTGAGGATTTGGGGTCCAAGGGAGGTCCTGGAACCAACCTTCCATAGATACAGAGAGATAACTATTGATTATTTTAAAAAAAAGTTAGGATGTTAATTGAAAGTACATGGCAGCTCCTAAGAAAATAATTTTTAAATATTCAGAAAAGAAAATTAGGAGGAAATCCAAACTTTGTATTAGAAAAAAATCAATTAAACAAGAAAGCAATATTGAAAGAATTGGGGGGAAAACATAACAAATATATAAAACTAAGAGCAAAGTAGCAAAAGTAAATCTTTCCTTATCAGTAATCACTTTAAATATAAATAACTGAAACTCACCAGTTAAAAGACAAAAACTGGCAGGATGGATTAAAAAATAAAAGCATGTTGTCTGCCCACAAGAGACTAACTTTAGGTCCAAAGATACAAATAGGCTGAAAATAAACAGACAGAAAATGATATTCCACACAAATAGTTGCCAAAACAGAGCTGGTATAACTACACTAATATCAGATGAAATAGACATGAAGTTAAAATTACAAAAGACAAGCAAATTCACTATTCATTGATAAAGGGTCAATTTATCAAGAAGATGTAACAATAATAAACATATATGCACTGCTATGATTTGGGCATGGTTTTGCTGTTGTTGTTGTTCCTGCCAAAGCTCGTGTTGAAACTTGATTCCCAATGTGGTAGTGTTGGGAGGTGGGGCCTAGTGGGAAGTGTTTGGGTCATAAGGGCAGATCCCTCATGAATGGCTTGGTGCTGTTCTCAAGATAGTCAGTGAGTTCTTCCTATTTTAAGACTGGATCTGGATTAGTTCTCACAGGAATTGATTAGTTTCTACAAGTGTGGTTGTTACAAAGCCAGGTCACCCCTCATGTTTCTCTTTCTTCACACGTCTGCTTCCTCTTTGCCCTTCTCTGTCATGTTGTGACTCAGCACAGAAGCCCTTGCCAGAGCCAGGGTCATGCCATTGAGATCCTCAGCCTGCAGAACCATGAGCTAAATAAAACTCTTTTCTTTATAAATTACCCAGTCTCAGGTATTCTTTTATAGCAACACAAAAGGGACTGAGACATGCACCAAACAACAGAACTCCAAAATGTATGAAGCCAAAAAAATGACAGACTTGAAGGGAGAAATAGACAGTTCTGCAATGCAGTGGGTTGACATCCTGGGACTGCTGCTCCTGGTGGTAGGGGTTGACAGGACAAGCTATCTGCCCACATGGTGCTCACGGACTAGCAGAGGAGGCAGTGACAACTGCTGTGAAATAGTAGTGAGTGTTAAGAAGAAAGATGGGGAGAGGCACGTTAGGCAGAGTGAGGAAGTGAGAGAGATAAGGCAGGAGGGGTGTTGCAGAGCAGGTGAGAGAGGGGTATCCTAAGCAGGTGGCATTGGCAGAGAAGGCTGGGAATGGTCTACACATCCCATGTTTGTTTCTGAGTGGTGGGATAATGAATTTTTTGTTTTATTCTTTATATTTTTCTGTGTGTGTGTGTGTGTGTGTGTGTGTGTGTGTGTGTGTTTGAGACAGGGTCTCTCTTTGTCACTCAGGCTGGAGTGCAGCAGCACAATCTCTACTCACTGCAGCCTCCACCTCCTGGGTTCAAGTGATTCTCGTGCCTCAGCCTCCTGAGTAGCTGGGATTACAGGTGTGTACCACCACAGCTGGCTAATTTTTAAATTTTTTATAAAGTCAGGGTCTCACTATGTTGCCCAGGATAACATTTTCAATTAAAAACATGTGCTACTTTGATTTTCAGAAAAAGGGAGTGCTTAAAAAGAGAGCGAAAGTTCAACTTCATAAACTTGAAGAGCACTGCTGACTTCCTACCTGTGGCCACGTAGTCCTAGCTGCGTTTTTCTGGTGGCTTCCAGAAGAATGGCACTGCCCTGCCACCTTGTGGCCATGTGGCAAGTAAACCTTCCAGCCAGCATTACAATAAAGCCAAAATCTGTTTTCTCACGTTTGAGGAAGATGACAAATATTCAGCATTCTAAGTAAGCTATGATTTGGATGGAGCTTTATTGATAGCACTCAGAGATAACGTGTTCTGCTTTATGGTAATACTTCATCCTTTTGGCATCATCAAGAAACAGCCTCTCTACTCAAAGCTTAACTCTTAAGGACCTACATAAAGATTATCTGAACATTCTTATTCATTTCTTACAGAGTGTATTGAACACAAAAACCTTTCCTTTAGAGCTCATGATTTTTAAAAACAATATCTCCTCAATGCAAAGATAAGTTCAATCCATCACCAGGAAGAGCCCAGGCTTAGCTCATAGGAAATACAAGTGAATCCAGGGATGGTGGAGAATTTTTTTTTTCTTTTTCTTTTGTTATTTATTTATTTGTTTGAGACAGGGTCTTTCTCTGTCAACCAGGCTGGAGTGCAGTGACACCATCATGGCTTACTGCAGCCTCATCCACCTGGGCTCAAGCGATCCTCCCATCTCAGCCTCCTGAGTAGCTGTGACTACAGGTGCGTGCCACCACTCCTGACTAATGTTTGTATTTTTTTTAAGAGACCTGGTTTCACCATGGTCCCCAGGCTGGTCTTGAACTCCTGAGCTCAAGCAATACGCTGGTAGGGCTTTTTCTTATTGTTACCCTCTGTATTGATTTGTTCAGGTTGCCAAAACAAAGTACCACAAACTGAGTGGCTTCTTACACAACAGAACTTTATTGTCCACAGCGCTGGAGGTAAGAAGTTTGAAATCAAGGTATTGGCAGGGGTTGTTTCCTCTGAGGGGAAGGTCTGCTCCAAGCCTCTCTCCTTGGCTTGTATGGCCATCTTCTCCCTGCCTGTTCACATCACCATCCTCTCTGCATGTCTTCATGTCCAAATTTCCTCTTTTTTGTAAAGACAATAGTCATATTGGTTTAGGGCCCAGCAAATGACCTCATTTTAACTTGATTACCTCTGTAAAGATCCTATCTGCAAATAAGTCACATTTTGAGGTATTGGGGGTTAGGACTTTGAAATATGAATGTGGGGTGAGCACAGTTCAACTCCTGACACCCCTCCTGGTGTTGCATTTCAGTAGAAGACCAGTGAGCCTCAGGTAGGAACCTGGAAAGCCCCACCGTCTTGTTTCCTCCCATCTTCCCTTTCTTTTCCCTCAATGGCTTTCAACTCTGATTCACATTAGAATTATCCAAGGAGTTTTTAAATTTCTGATTCTGAACCCCACCCCTAGACCAACTAAATCAGAAGAAAACTCGCAGGGAAACTTAATCCAAGAAGGGATCAAGGAAGGCTTCCAATGGGAGGGGATTCGTTCACTACATTTTGAAAAATGAATGGATGATTGAGATAGAGAATAATGAGAGGTGTAGAAAGAACATCATAACCAAAGACTTAGTGGGGTCAGACAACATGGGTGGGCTGGCAGGGCTTGTGTGTGTCCTGATGGCAGAGGGAGGGGTGGGGGGTCACACACAGGGGCACAGGAGCAACCCTACAGGCAGCTGTTGCTGTGAGATAAACGTCCAAGCAGGAGGTGCTGAAAGATGAAGCTGATGAGGCAGGCAGGGGCCAAATCAAGAGAGGATGTGTGCCTCATGCAAAGAAGCCTGGGTTTCCACATCAGCATTTCAGAAAGGGAGCTGCCATCACCCCCAAGCTCACTACTGACCATAATGTCAGGTGTGGCTGCCCTCCTGTCAACTGCATCACCATTGTGATTCTACTTTCATAAGCAATGACAAGTGTGAGTTCACTGTTACGACAAAGGATGTCGTTGCCAATTCTGAAGCTGCTGTGGATGGCAGTGAGGCAGGATAGAGTGGAAGAGGCAAGACCAGGAGCTGGGCAAGACCAGTGAAGTATAATGGATGGCAGAGAGGTGTAGACCCTAGTCAGGAGGACAGACAGTTAAGAAATGCATTGGGTGGACCGGGCGCGGTGGCTCATGCTCATAATCCTGCACTTTGGGAGGCTGAGGTGGGCAGATCACCTGAGGTCGGGAGTTTGAGACCAGCCTGACCAATGTGCAGAAACCCTGTCTCTACTAAAAATACAAAATTAGCTGAGCATGGTGGCACATGCCTGTAGTCCCAGCTACTCAGGAGGCTGAGGCAGGAGAATCGCTTGAACCTGGAAGGAGGAGGTTGCAGTGAGCCAAGATCCTGCCATTACACTCCAGCCTGGCAAACAAGTGCAAAACTCTGTCTCAAAAAAAAAAAAAAAAAGAAAAAGAAAAAAAAAGAAATGCATTGTGTGGAGTGGGGCTCGGGGGTGAGGTGACCAGCTTGCCTCTTCCACTCTATCCTGCCTTACTGCCATCCACAGCAGCTTCGGAATTGGCAACCACATCCTTTGTCATAACAGTGAACTCACACTTGTCACTGCTTATGAAAGTAGAATCACAGTGGTGATGTTCCTGCCCAGGCACTGAGGTGAAGTGAATGGTTTGGCAACAGGGTACAAGCGAAAATGCAGAGGTGAAAATCTGGGCCTTGGAACAGCTTCATCAAGTCTGGCAAGGGAGACCCAATCCACTCAACTGCAGAATGTGCATGTGACCACTACATGGTGAACAGAGTACTGAGCTTTGCTGCTCTACCAACCATCATGGTAGGGGCACACATTCTACTCCCCTGAATGTAGCCAGGCTCTGGGGAGCTCATTTGCAGCTTTGACTCATTCTGGGCAGCCTCAATTTTTCTCAAACACCAATTGCATCTGGGAAGGTGAATTCACTGTGCCTAGGTTTGTCCCCTCTGCTATAACAGTGATGCAATGTCACGTGAAAGATTCCTATCATAATTTAACCATTTTCTAAATTATCTGGGAAGTTTATTTGGAGGTTTGGGAGTGCTCTAATGATGTATGATAAATCTTTGATGCAAAGATCTACAATCTTGCAATTTACTATAAGCATCTTTGAAGTACATGTTATTAATTTAACCTTATATAAAGGTTATATACAGAATCTGTACCTCAGTATGCTTAGTTGTATCCACATAGAGGACTTCTAAAACACCAAAACTGCCTCATTATACATTATATAGACTTGCACATCATAATGGCAGTTAATAAAATGAAATTCTGTGTTTTCCTTTTTATAGTTAAATTTTTCCTTAAAAAAAATAACTTTCAGGAGATAAGCAAGAAAAATGCCTTGGCCTGGGAGATTAAAACCTATCTGGCAAAATGAAAACATTGATGTAAATGACATGAAAATGGTTCTGTCTGGCTTTGCTGTGGCCCGTTATTAGAGATCAGATTGGCAGCTGCTTCCACAACTAATTGATTCTAGGAAATTTGGCAAGCCTTATACTTCTCTATCTCAGAAACTGGACAACTGCCCACTTTGTAAATACCAACGTAACAATATCCTTTAAAGTGCTTAAAATGCATTGGGAAAAATCCCTATCAAATAAAAGATATACTTATGTAACTTATTATAGTACTTGATTTCAAATATTTATATGTAAAATACTAATGACTGTTCTGATAAATACTTTATCAAATTCACAAAGTATGTCAGTATGTGAACAGCATAATCTAAAGGCTTGTGCTGGTGTCTTCCATTTGCCCCCTAAGATCCACTCTCTGTGGTTTTCCAGCCAGTCCTGGACCCAGTGGGGGAATGTGGGTGCTGACCTAGGGTTTCCTTTGCCTTCTGGCTTCAGGTTGGGTTCAGCCAACCAGTGTAGGGTTATCAGCAAAAGATCCATAGGTGGGAGGAGAATGGAGGCAGGTATTTATTCTCCCCATGAGTGTTCTCTGAATTGATACTGAAGGCCATAGTTCCTGTCAGGTGACCCATTCCATAGACCCCTCACCCCATGACCTTCAATCTTTGTGCTTAGAGGTAATAATAACTGTTCCCTGAGATTGCAAGCCCCAGAGAACTCCATCATCATTTGCTATCTTCTGTAAACTACCCATATATTTTAAATATTTCTTTTTATTAAATTCTCCTCCAGTGATCCAAATTGAATTTTCCACCTTGAATGGTAACAGTGCTTTTACTCTTTTCCTTTGTGTTGAAAAGGAAGCATGGGCAAAAGGTGCTGAAATACAATCTCTGCTTATTAAAACAAACAAATAAACAAAAAAAAAAACAAGCAATTCAGTACCACAAAGCTGCTATGTTAATACATCTCTTTTTCCTTCTTTTTCTTTTTTTTTTTTTTTTTTTGAGACAGTCTCCCTTTGTTGCCTGCGTTGGAGTGAAGTGGCGCGACTCAGCTCACTGCAACATCCACTTCCCAGGTTCAAAGGATTCTCGTGCCTCAGCCTCCGAAGTAGCTGGGACTACAGGCATGCGCCACCAGGCCTGGCTAATTTGTTTTTTTTTTTTTTGTATTTTTAGTACAGATAGGGTTTCACCATGTTGCCCAGGGTGGTCCTGAACTCCTGAGCTCAGGCAATCAGCTTGCCTTGGCCTACTGAAGTGTTAGGATTACAGGTATGAGCCCCACACCCAGCCTCCTTTTCTTTAAACAGAAGGCAGTGCTCCAATTTCCAGTCAGCTCTGAATCACTCTTTATTGTTGTTTTTTAAAATTTTTTTAAAAAATAGAGATGGGGGGTCTCGCTATGCTGGCCAGGCTGGTCTCAAACTCCTGGTCTCAAGCAATCCACCCATCTCAGCCTCCCCGAGTGCTGGAATCACAGGCATGAACCACCATGCCCAGTCTCTAAGTCACTCTTGAGGTCAGTGCACCTATAGCCTGTGAGGGTTTGTGGGATTATTCAGATATTGTTATTGCTTGGGTTGGACATTTTATACCCCCTTATGCAGCAGCCATCCTCTAACGTGAACTAGAAGGAGGAAAGTTTTTCTTTTTTTTTTTTTGAGACAGAGTTTCACTCTTGTTGCCCAGGCTGGAGTGCAATGGCACAATCTCAACTCACTGCAACCTGAAGGAGGAAAGTTTTTCTTACTATAATTGGACATCGTTAAATAAATTTTGTTGTGTGTGTCTTTGTTCCTTCCCCCCTTATTTTATCCTCTTATTCTCTAAACACATTCTGTCACATTAAAATGCTAGACACTAACAGCTGGAGACATAAAAGTTTAGCCTTTCATAGTAAAACAAAAAAATTATATGTATGTGCTATAGACTGAATTGTGTTTCCCAAAAATTCACATGTTGAAGCCCTAACTTCCAACATGACTGACTTTGGAAATACAGCTTTTAGGAGGTAATTAAAGTTAATGAGGTCTCAAGAGTGGGGCTTATAGGATTAGTGGCCTTATATGAAGAGGAAGATCTCTCTCTCTCTCTCTCTCTCTGTTCACCACGTGAAGACACAATGACAGCTACCTGGAAGTCAGGGAGTGGGCCCTTATCAGGAACTCAGTCAGCTGGCACCTTGATCTTGGACTTCCCAGCCTCTAAGACAGTGAGAAATAAATGTTTGTTGTTTAAGCCACCCAGTCTATGATATTTTCTTATAGCAGCCTGAGCTAAGACAGTGTGTGCCTCACTTATGTCTATTGAAAATACAGGCCAGGTGCAGTGGATCATGCCTGTAATCCCAGCACTTTCGGAGGCTGAGGAGGGAGGATCGCTTGAGTACAGGAGTTTGAGACCAGCTTAGGTAACACAGTGAGATCTCGTCTCTATTTATAAAAAATAAAGTAATTAAATAATTTTTAAAAAGGAAAATACAGAAAACATCCTATAATGTCATAGCAATGTGTGTTACCTGATTGGCATATTTACTTCTTGTCCAAACTCCCTTTTTTGTTTGTTTTTTGTTTTTTTCTTTTTAGAGATAAGGTCTTGCTCTGTCACTCAGGCTGGAGTCCAGTGGCACAATCATAGTTCACTGTAACCTTGAACTCTTGGGCTCAAGCAATCCTCCCACCTCAGCCTTCTGAGGTGGGACTGCAGGTGCATGCCACCCAGGTAATTTTTTTTACATCCAGCTAATTATTAAATTTTGTTTTTTGTAGAAATTGGGTCTCACTGTATTGACCAGGCTGGTCTTGAACTGCTAGCCTCAAGTGATCCACTTGCCTCAGCCTCCCAAAGTGCTGGGGTTACAGGTGTGAGCCACTGCACCCAGCCCAAACTTCCTTCTTTATAAAAATTCATGCTGATTTACTTCCTTATTAAAATGATAGATGCTTACAAATAAAAACTCAGAGTGCATAAAAATGCAAAAATGAAAATAAAAATCACACCACATCCCATTGCTGAGAATTAATCGTAGTTATTAGTTGAGCACCATTTGACAGAACATTTTTTAAAATCACGTATGTGATTAAAGAAATACCTAGAGAGGAGGAAATACTTTTGTAAAAATGGGGCCATATGATAACTGTTTCATTGTTTGTTATTTGCCCTGAGGACCATTTTCAGAGGCTTCAAGTCATTGCTTTTTAATACTTTTAATGCTTTTTAATAATTTCACTGGGGATAGAATCAGCAGAGGTCCTCAAGCTGTCATGCCAGAAGTCAATCTGTCAGGCAAATTAAAACAAATTTGAAGTTTGTTTTAATCCCAGGAGGACTATTCTTGGTTATCTCTTGTTTCTCTCTGGTGAACTAGATGGTTTTGTTCTGATTAATTAAGAGGAGATACCAACCTCCTCGTTTGCTTTACACCAAAATCTCCATTGTTTTCAAGGCACCCTTAGGCTTGAACGTCCCTACACCCTGTCTCAAAGTCAGTTCCTTTCTGCAGAACTTCAGGACTCTCTGTTCTTAAATGCTATCTCTCTCCTCATGGGCAGAACGTTTGAACCAGTACTGTGGTGCTGGATGAGGATAGTGGCTGCTGGTCTTTTTAGCTTGCCTATCTTGGCATGGAACCTCTGCTCAATGAGTGAGCTGCAGCAGGGGTGATTGGGACCATGGTAGTCTTGTTCTGCCAAGCCTAGGGTAGAGCCTCTATCCTGCGAGTAGGGGCTAGGTAGACAAGGGAGTCCCCAACCTTTGGCCACACTCAGCAGAAATTTAGCTATCTTATTCCATTCAGGCTGCTGTAACAGAATACCACAGACTGGGGGCATATATACCACATAAATTTATTTTTCACACTTCTGAAGGCTTGGAAGTCAAAGATCAAGGTGCTAGCATATTCAGTGTCTGGTGAGAGCCTGATTCCTGGTTGATAGATGGCTGTATATGGCAGAATGACCTCACATGGCAGAGGGGTGCAGCAGTTCTTTGGGGTACCTTTTATAAGAGCACTAATCCCATTCATAAGGTGTGCCCGCATGACCCAATAACCTCCCAAAGGGCTTGTGTTCTAATAACATCACCTTAGTGGTTAGGTTTCAAAATAAGAATTTGAGGAGGGACATAAACATTCATTCTACAGCATAAGCCTTGAGAAACAAAGTTGAGTGTTCTAATATAAAGAGAGAGGTGTAAGCTGTACCATTTTCTATGAACTAGCCTTGGAATTCACAAAATATTGCTTTTGAAATAGTCTATTCATTGGCAATGATGAACTAAGGCCAGACTTTTTATTTTTATTTATTTATTTTTATTACACTTCAAGTTCTAGGGTACATGTGCACAACGTGCAGGTTTGTTACATATGTATACATGTGCCATGTTGGTGTGCTGCACCCATTAACTCGTCATTTACATTAGGTATATCTCCTAATGCTATCCCTCCCTCCTCCCCCAACCCCACAACAGGCCCTGGTGTGTGATGTTCCCCACCCTGTGTCCAAGTGTTCTCATTGTTCAATTACTACTTATAAGTGAGAACATACGGTGTTTGGTTTTCTGTCCTTGGGATAGTTTGCTCAGAATGATGGTTTCCAGCTTCATCCATGTCTCTACAAAGGACATGAACTCATCATTTTTTATGGCTGCATAGTATTCCATGGTGTATATGTGCCACATTTTCTTAATCCAGTCTATCATTGATGGACATTTGGGTTGGTTCCAAGTCTTTGCTATTGTGAATAATGCCACAGTAAACATACGTGTGCATGTGTCTTTATAGCAGCATGATTTATAATCCCAGTAATGGGATGGCTGGGTCAAATGGTATTTCTGGTTCTAGATCCTTGAGGAATCGCCACACTTGTCTTCTACAACAGTTGAACTAGTTTACAGTCCCACCAACAGTGTAAAAGTGTTCCTATTTCTCCACATCCTCTCCAGCATCTGTTTCCTGACTTTTTAATGATCGCCATTCTAACTGGTGTGAGATGGTATCTCATTGTGGTTTTGATTTGCATTTCTCTGATGGCCAGTGATGATGAGCATTTTTTTATGTGTCTGTTGGCTGCATAAATATCTTCTTTTGAAAAGTGTCTGTTCATATCCTTCACCCACTTTTTGATGGGGTTGATTTTTTCCTATAAATTTGTTTAAGTTCTTTGTAGATTCTGGATATTAGTCCTTTCCAGATGGGTAGATTGTGAAAATTTTCTTCCGTTCTGTAGGTTGCCTGTTCACTCTGATGGTGGTTTCTTTTGCTGTGCAGAAGCTCTTTAGTTTAATTAGATCCCATTTGTCTATTTTGGCTTTTGTTGTCATTGCTTTTGGTGTTTTAGGCAGGAAGTCCTTGCCCATGCCTATGTCCTCAATGGTATTGCCTAGGTTTTCTTCTAGGGTTTTTATGGTTTTAGGTCTAACATTTAAGTCTTTAATTCATCTTGAATTAATTTTTGTATAAGGTGTAAGGAAGGGATCCAGTTTCAGCTTTCTCCATATGGCTAGCCAGTTTTCCCAGCACCATTCATTAAATAGGGAATCCTTTTCCCATTTCTTATTTTTGTCAGGTTTGTCAAAGATCAGATGGTCGTAGATGTGTGATACTATTTCTGAGGGCTCTGTACTGTTCCTTTGGTCTATATCTCTGTTTTAGTACCAGTACCATGCTGTTTTGCTTACTGTAGCCTTGCAGCATAGTTTGAAGTCAGGTCGCGTGATGCCTTCAGCTTTGTTCTTTTGGCTTAGGATTGTCTTGGCAATGCAGGCTCTTTTTTGGTTCCATGTGAATTTTAAAGTAGTTTTTTCCAATTCTGTGAAGAAAGTCATTGGTAGCTTGATGGGGATGGCATTGAATCTATAAATTACCTTGGGCAGTATGGCCATTTTCATGATATTGATTCTTCCTATCCATGAGCATGGAATATTCTTCCATTTGTTTGTGTCCTCTTTTATTTAGTTGAGCAGTAGTTTGTAGTTCTCCTTGAAGAGGTCCTTCACATCCTTTGTAAGTTGGATTCCTAGGTATTTTATTCTCTGAAGCAACTGTGAATGGCAGTTCACTCATGATTTGGCACTCTGTTTGTCTGTTATTGGTGTATAGGAATGTTTGTGATTTTTGCAGATTGATTTTGTATCCTGAGACTTTGCTGAAGTTCCTTACCAGCTTAAGGAGATTTGGGGCTGAGACAATGGGGTTTTCTAAATATACAATCATGTCATCTGCCAACAGGGACAATTTGATGTCCTCTTTTCCTAATTGAATACCCTTTATTTCTTTCTCTTGCCTGATTGTCCTGGCCAGAACTTCCAACACTATGTTGAATAGGAGTGGTGAGAGAGGGCATCCCTGTCTTGTGCCAGTTTTCAAAAGGAATGCTTCCAGTTTTTGCCCATTCAGTATGATATTGGCTGTGGGTTTGTCATAAATAGCTCTTATTATTTTGAGATATGTTCCATCAATACCTAGTTTATTGAGAGTTTTTAGCATGAAGCGCTGCTGAATTTTGTCAAAGGCCTTTTCTGCATCTATTGAGATAATAATGTGGTTTTTGTCTTTGGTTCTGTTAATATGATGGATTACGTTTATTCATTTGCATATGTTGAACCAGCCTTGCATCCCAGGGGTGAAGCCAACATGATTGTGGTGGATAAGCTTTTTGATGTGCTGCTGGATTCGGTTTGCCAGTATTTTATTGAGGATTTCTGCATGGATGTTCATCAGGGATATTGGTCTAAAATTCTCTTTTTTTGTTGTGTCTCTGCCAGGCTTTGGTATCAGGATGATGCTGGCCTCATAAAATGAGTTAGGGAGGATTCCCTCTTTTTCTATTGATTGGAATAGTTTCAGAAGGAATGGTACCAGCTTCTCTTTGTACCTCTGGTAGAATTCAGCTGTGAATCTGCCTGGTCCTAGACTTTTTTTGGTTGGTAGGCTATTAATTATTGCCTTAATTTCAGAGCCTGTTATTTGTCTATTCAGGGATTCAACATCTTCCTGGTTTAGTCTTGGGATGGTGTATGTGTCCAGGAATTTATCCATTTCTTCTAGATTTTCTAGTTTATTTGCATAGAGGTGTTTATAGTATTCTCTGATGGTAGTTTGTATTTCTTTGGGATTGGTAGTGATATCCCCTTTATCATTTTTTATTGCATCTATCTGATTCTTCTTTTCTTCTTTATTAGTCTTGCTGGTGGTCTATCAATTTTGTTGATCCTTTCAAAAAACCAGCTCCTGGATTCATTGATTTTTTGAAGGGTTTTTTGTGTCTGTATCTCCTTCAGTTCTGCTCTGATCTTAGCTATTTCTTGCCTTCTGCTAGCTTTTGAATGTGTTTGCTCTTGCTTCTCTAGTTCTTTTTGTTGTGATGTTAGGGTGTCAATTTTAGATCTTTCCTGCTTTCTTTTGTGGGCATTTAGTGCTATAAATTTCCCTCTACACACAGCTTTAAATGTGTCTGAGAGATTCTGGTATGTTGTGTCTTTGTTTTCATCGGTTTCAAAGAACATCTTTATTTCTGCTTTCATTTCATTATATACCCAGTAGTCATTCAGGAGCAGGTTGTTCAGTTTCCATGTAGTTGAGTGGTTTTGAGTGAGTTTCTTAATCCTGAGTTCTAATTTGATTGCACTGTGGTCTGAAAGACAGTTTGTTATAATTTCTGTTCTTTTACATTTGCTGAGGAGTGCTTTACTTCCAACTATGTGGTCACTTTTGGAATAAGTGTGATGTGGTGCTGAGAAGAATGTATATTCTGTTGATTTGGGGTGGAGAGTTCTGTAGATGTCTATTAGGTCTGCTTGGTGTAGAGCCGAGTTCAATTCCTGGATATCCTTGTTAACTTTCTGTCTCGTTTATCTGTCTAATGTTGACAGTGGGGTGTTAAAGTCTCCCATTATTATTGTGTGGGAGTCTAAGTCTCTTTGTAGGTCTCTAAGGACTTGCTTTATGAATCTGGGTGCTCCTGTACTGGGTGCATATAAATTTAGGATAATTAACTCTTCTTGTTGAATTGATCCCTTTACCATTATGTAATGGCCTTCTTTGTCTCTTTTGATCTTTGTTGGTTTAAAGTGTGTTTTATCAGAGACTAGGATTGCAACCCCTGCTTTTTTTGTTTTCCATTTGCTTGGTAGATCTTCCTCCATCCCTTTATTTTGAGCCTATGTGTGTCTCTGCATGTGAGATGGGTCTCCTGAATACAGCACAGTGATGGGTCTTGACTCTATCCAATTTGCCAATCTGTGTCTTTTAATTGGAGCATTTAGCCCATTTACGTTTAATATTTTTATGTGTAATTTGATCCTGTCATTATGATGTTAGCTGGGTATTTTGCTTGTTAGTTGATGCAGTTTCTTCCTAGCATCGATGGTCTTTACAATTTGGCATGTTTTTGCAGTGGCTGTTACCAATTGTTCCTTTCCATGTTTAGTGCTTCCTTCAGGAAGGCCTGGTGGTGACAAAATCTCTCAGCATTTGCTTGTCTGTAAAGGATTTTATTTCTCCTTCACTTATGAAGCTTAGTTTGGCTGGATATGAAATTCTGGGTTGAAAATTCTTTTCTTTAAGAATGTTGAATATTGGCCCCCACTCTCTTCTGGCTTGTAGAGTTTCTGTTGAGAGATCCGCTGTTAGTCTGATGGGCTTCCCTTTGTGGGTAACCTGACCTTTCTCTCTGAGGGCAGCCTATTTTTAAAGGGAAGGGACTTACACTCTACCTCTTGATGGAAGGGCATCAAATAATTTGTGGACACATTTTTAAACCATGACTACATATGCGTAGATACCTAGGGAGCACAATGTTGCAACATGTTACCATTTGAAAATTTTAAGTGAAAGGTGTATGAATATTTGGTATTCTACTCTTTTCATTTTCCTGTAAGTTTGAAATTTTTCAAAATAAAAAGTTGGGGGGAAAATGTTACTCTGCAGTTGTCCAGCCTGATTTTTTTCCCCATTTATAGCCAATTTGCTTTTTGCCTGGATGCTTAAGTAACTCTTTCTTTAAGTTGTATATTCTAGTTATAAAACCTCTCTTAATAAATTTTCCTGGACTGCAATGTGTGTCTCCATCTAGAGGTTCATTTTTTTTCTTCTATGTAATCCCCTTTATTACATCTTCTGAATTCTTCTGTTCCATATTTTGGGGCACTTTGCATTTAGGACACCAATTATCCTCATGTTGGATCATTTCTACATTCTGATTCTGTGGGCTTTGTTGTATTTGCTTTAATTTATTTTCTTTTCAGCTGCATGTATTGTTATGATCTTAAGATTTTCTTTTAACTTAGCTTCCAGTAGTGTCTTTTCTATTCCTTCCAATTTGTACTTCAGTGTGTTGAATGGTGTTGTTTGGATCCTCACTTTGTATTTTTAAGTGTGATGATCTCCATTTATCTGTTTCTGTTGCTGCTGTTTATGTTCTTCTCTATGAGGTCTTATTTTAAATTAGTTAATGTATATATAACGTATATACACAAATACACAGTTTATTACTATTACTTTAATCATGTATTCTCCCAGGTCAGTTTCTTTATCAATCTTTGCAGGGGGTCTTCCTTTCTTGCCTCCCTCTTCATTTCCTTTCTTTGTTAGATGCCCTGAACCAATGTTCTGCTTTTTCACAATTTCAAGGAGTGGTCCATCCCTTTAGGGAATATGCCTAACCTTTAGGTAATTTTCCCAGAGGGAAACTAGAATGAATTAGAGCCATGGCTATGAAGAGAGAAAAAAGAAAGGCTATTTTCCAGTTGTTAATCTTCAGGGTTTCAATTATCAGATATGGGGCTTTTCAAATGACTTCAGGGGTGGTGTGTGATTAGGAGCCAGGCTACTTATCCTCTGTGCTCCAGAATCCTTCATTTTCCTCCCTGATATCACTTTTTAAAGTTTTGCATTCCACTATCTCCCTTTCCTTGTTGGCAATTATTATTGATTTTTTGGGGAGAGGTTTTCTTTTTTTTAAACTGATTTTGGGTGCATCTTGTTAAGAAGTAGGGGAAGAAAAACTGTGAGGCAGTCTCTATTCTTTTAAACTTAGAAGTCCATCTCTTCTACAGCAACATATTTATATTTTTTAAGCAGGCTACAGGAAGAATGAAATACTTTTCACAAGAAAAAGAACCTAGTGTTTTGAGCTGGAAGTGATCTCAGAAACCATCCACTTTTGGGCTGGGGGCAGCAGCTCATGCCTGTAATCCCAGCAGTTTGAGAGGCTGACGGGGGTGGATGACCTGAGGTCAGGAGTTTGAGACCAGCCTGGCCAACATGGCAAAACCCCGTTTCCACTAAAAATACAAAAATTCACTGGGTGTGGTGGCACATGCCTGTAATCCCAGCTACTCAGGAGACTGAGGCAGCAGAATTGCTTGAAACTAGGAGGCAGAGGTTGCAGTAAGCCGTGGTTGCACCACTGCACTCCAGCCTGGGTGATGAAGCAAGACTCCATCTCAGAAAAAAAACAAAACAAAACAAAACAAAACAAAACAAAAAACCATCCACTTTCCAAGTTCACAGAGCCATTTAATGACTGAGGAGAAGGTCTCCATCTTTTTTTTCCATCTTCCCTTGTCTCATGTATGGGTGTCATTTTCGACATCAGAAAGAGAGACTGAGAAAGAAAGAGAGGGAGCGAGAAGTTTTGCATGTTGAGTACTTTCCTTTCCTGCCTCTATTCATATTACAGAGCACTGGGCCTTTGTTAGGGGTAGCTCTGGTGGCACAGAAATTGGGGCTCTGACTACAATGCTAAAAAAGTATATATTGGATAAAGACTCAATATGGTAAAGAAAGAACACCAGGAAAATTGTAAGACATTTTTCTTCTTCCTCTCTTCTCTGGTTTAAAGCAAATAAATCAACCAACACCACAAGAACTACATATCATTTGAGGACATGAGACATTGAAAAAGGGAAGAGTTTGATTTTCTGAAATGATTTGTCTCAGCTGCTATGACTGCTTGTGAGAATTAAGAAATTATCCCAGTGAGTACTGTGTTACAAGTACATGCAATGGATTTTAATTATGTCAGCTGGAAAAAGACTTAAAAACAAGCCAAAGGACTGTAGATTAATAGGAAATGTAAAAATATAATCTGCCTTGGGTCAATTCTGATCAGTGAGGCATCTCAGAATGCACCCCATCTATTTCAGTGGGCCCTCCCTCTTCTGAATGAAGACTTATCAGCACCAGAGATCTATGAAGCTGCCCCAAAACCTATTGGACCAGCTGGTCACTTGTCATTGGTCAAAACATTAGAATAAATGTTTCCCAAAATGCCCAGAAATGCAATCCTGTTGCTTACAGAGATCCTCAATCCTAATTCTACAATGAGGCTCTTAGTTAATTCTGACTTGGGGACATCCAGAAGTTAACCTTGACACCTAGCTGTAAGAAAAAGCACAAAGTAGAAATACAAAAAATAAAAATAAAATCTTTTCTTTCAAAGTCAGCTGGGTATGAAAAATATGAAATTCATAAATAATCTAGAATTGTTCATGTGATGATATAACATGAGGAAATTATACAGTGACGGATACAATTTTCTTCCACCCTCCTAAGGTCTCTGGCCAGAACTGAAATAGTACAGATTAACAAGAGAAAAGCATACAATATTAATAATTTTTTTTACTTGTACATGGGAATCCTCACAAGAAAAATGAAGACCCAAAGATTCAGTTAGAGCTAAATGCTTATATACCATATTGGACAGAGTAGTAAATTGTGAAAATATGACAAGAAAAAGGGGCTTAGATTTGGGCAATGAATCATGGAGAAGTGACTAGGAAGATACCGGTAAGCACAACAAGTTTTGTTTGTACAGATGTCTCTTGTCTTTGACTTCTCATGTCTAGGGATAAGAATGTTTCTTTCCTCTTGGTGTAGTGAGGACATCTCTCACATGGGACTTCCATCTTCTGCTTTCAGGAAGAAAAAGGAAGGCCAGTGTGCCCTTCTTGCACCTGCTGCTTTTTAAGTGCTTTTCACTCAAAAGAATCAATATGCTACAGTGGCATGTTTTGAGGTGGTGTGTTCTGAACTCCTTCCCTACCCAGTATCTATGCTCTCATTCTCCCTTACAAATAGAACTCCTATAGTCTGTTAAAAGAAAAACTTTAGCCTAATTAAATTTAACAGTGTTTACTTGAACAAAGAATGATTCCACCAATCGGGCAGCCTCCCCAGCCGGAGTAGGTTCAGAGACACTTCAGCACAGCCATGTGGTGGAAGATTTATAGACAGAAAAAGGAAGTGATGTACAGAAAAGGAAGTGAGGTATAGCAACAGCTGGATTGGTTACAGTCAGTGTTTGCCTTATTTGAACACGGTTTGAGCAGCTGGCCCCCTTTCATCGGCCATAACTCAGTGACTGGCACAAGAGTAGATTACAGTCTGTTTACACCTTCATTTAGGTTATAGTTTGCGACTTACAGAGAAAACTTTAGGCACAACTTAAAATATGTATGGAGGCAACTTTAGGCTAAACTTAAGTCTCGAGGATGCAATGTAACTGTCAGGCCTCTGAGCCCAAGCTAAGTCATCATATCCCCTGTGACCTGCACGTATACATCCAGATGGCCTGAAGTAACTGAAGAATCTCAAAAGAAGTGAAAATGGCCTGTTCCTGCCTTAACTGATGACATTACCTTGTGAAATTCCTTCTCCTGGCTCATCCTGGCTCAAAAGCTCCCCCACTGAGCACCTGGTGACCCCCACCCCTGCCTGCCAGAGAACAACCCCCTTTGACTGTAATTTTCCTTTACCTACCCAAATCTTATAAAACGACCCCACCCCTATCTCCCTTAGCTGACTGTCTTTTCGGACTCAGCCCGCCTGCACTCAGGTGAAATAAACAGCCTTGTTGCTCACACAAAGGCCAGTTTGGTGGTCTCTTCATACGGACATGAGTGAAAGTAACTGTCCAGATTACATTTTTTACAAAAGATTTTTTTCAGTCTCCTTCGCAGATGGGAGTGACCAGTGAGAAGCAGATGGAAGCCACTGGGTGTGGCTTCCAGCACAACGCTCTCAAAGTGCTGGTTCTGTTGGCAGTTAAGCCTATTACACATGCCTCTTGCTCGTTTCTGCTGCCTGGGAGAAAGACCTGAGGACAGGGGCTGGCAGCCTGAAGGTCCAAGTGCATAATAATAGCGCAGTGGAGCCAAGGGATGGACAGAACCTGGCGGTGCCACCACTCCAGCCTTGGGTGCTTTTCCCTCCTTTTCAACAGGGAGAATTAAACTTTTGTTTTTCTTATTTTAAATTTATATTTGCTCTTAAGTGGCAGGCCAGGTCTCACTAACAGCTGAACAGACAGGCCTCCGTAACCACTGTTTCAGCACTAGTTAAGTTAAATATTAAAAGCTGAAAGAGCCAGTGTCTTTATAGAAAGGCTGGTATGTAACAAAAGCCCACCAAGAGTTTTGCCCAGGCCTTTCCTGGTCCTTGAAGCATGAGAAAATAAAGAAGGAATTCTTAACAGGACCTGTTCAAGATTAAACAAGTTTTTATTGGGGGTCTGAAGAAACTCCCCCAGACCTCCACAAACAAGTTTATCGGGGGTCTGAAGGAACTGCCCAAACCTTCATGATTTAGCAGGAGACAAGATAAGGGTAATCACCTCTGGCACCTGCAGCCATCTAGATTAAGTAAATTTACTTAAATAAAGACCTTCCTTAGGACTGATCTTAGTTATAGATTAGAAACAGTTAATCATTTACGTCTTTACACACATGCACACTTACATGTAGACAGATAGTTTAGAAGGTATATAAGCTCTGGAAAACTTTGTAATTTTGAATCGATTTGGCGATATTTTCCAGGCCTTTTCCCTGTACCCGGTTACCGAAATAAACTCTTCTTTCCCAGTTCATCATGAGAATAAGCAGCCCAACCCCTGGTTTGGCCCGGGAACACTTACAGAGGCTGTCTAAGACCCAGAAGACAGGGTCACTGTTTCTTCCACACAAACTTAGCTGCTCTTTGGAATTTTCTGGGGTGTTTTTATAAATACTAAGGCTTGTGCCTCATTTCCCCAGTGTCTGATTTCACCGACTTGGGGTGTACTCTAGGCACTGAGACTTGTAATAGCTGCCCCTGGTGACTCTAAGGTGCAGCAAATGTCAAAGACCAGGACTTGGTGACGCCAGGTCCCTGGCTGGGCTGCGGTCAAGACTGCATGACCTGCTGAAATCTCCCCAGACTGGTTAGCGCGGAAAGAGCACCTCCGGGTTACCCTTTCGTCCGGAAGCCCCGCCTTCGCCGTCGCCCCGCCTTTCCCCGGCTCGGCCACCCCTCCTTCCCGCCCAGCTGTGGCCCCGGATGACGCAAACCGGGAACAGCGGCTGAGCCTGCGCTTCGGAAGCATGGATGTGCGCCTGCGCTGCGCTAGGGCGCGGCGGGCGGTTTGAATTTTGCTTACAGAGTCCCGTCTCACCATCCTGGGCTTCCAACGGAGACTGCGGTATCCGCAGCTGGAGACCCAGCGGCGAGTAGCCTTTTGCTCCCGGACGGACTTGAGGTTGGAGTCTGTGTGTTGGGGACCCTGCCTTTGGAAGCGCCCGAGGTAGCTGCTTGGCAGCTGGGGGCCGCGGACCGCGCCGGGCTTGGGGGAGGACGGGGCTGGAGGCTGGGTTGGATGCTTTAGACCCTCCCCTTCTCTCTCACCGGCGGAGTGGGTGGGAAACTGGTTCTTTCCCATTTCTCGGCCTCCTTACCGATCCCAAACTGTAAAGCCCCAACCCCTCACAGCACAGGAAAAATGATTACCTGGGCCCATTTCTTTGACAGTGTAACACATTTTTAAAAAATGTGTCCTTATTTTGCGTGTTTAAAGAAAATACCAATGTTGTCTTTATATACAAATAGTGCGTTTGTCCTCCTGAATCCTTAAGGAAAGGACCCAGGCTTATCCTCTTTCCCCTGGTTTGGGATCCATCGATGGCCTAAGGCTCTAAGACAAGTCAGTACGGTACCGTGGTTAGAAACTGAATGTTGTAGAAATGAAAGAAATTGCTCTTGAATTTTTGTGCTTAACCTTCAAAGACATGTGATTTACTTGACATTGACCATTCTTGGATTTCGAAAGTGAACAGAAATTTGTGTGGCTTTTCTTGTTACGAATATGTTTATGTTTTTTTCTTCAGAGGCTTAAAGGATGGCCTCGTCAGATCTGGAACAATTATGCTCTCATGTTAATGAAAAGATTGGCAATATTAAGAAAACCTTATCATTAAGAAACTGTGGTAAGTAAAACAGATTCCACTGACTTTGTATATACAAAATGCATTTTGATTATTCCACTCTGAATGATATCTTTGCTTGGTTAAGTGACTGCATCTTAGGTAATTTTAGATTTTTGCATAACGATTTTTTAAATAGTCCAATGTCATTTTGAATATTGTGGAGGATACTAAAAATGTAAGGTACATTGAACAATGAACTGAATATTCATTAGAATTATTTACTTATGTTTTTCTGAGACACATAGGCCAATGGTGAGATTTGAAGGTTATGTGGCATCCATGGTTCTACAGCTAAATAGAGATACAGTCATGCGTTCCTTAATGATGGAGATGTGTTCTGACAAAAGCGTTACATGATTTTGTCGTTGTGCAAACATCACATCATAGAATGTACGTAAATGTACACAAACCTAGATGGTATAGCCTACTACATATCTAGGCTATATAGCCTATTGCTCCTAGGCAACAAACCCGTATAGCATGTGACTGTACTGAATACCTTAGGCAAGTGTAACACAATGGTGAGTATTTGTGTATCTAAACATAGAAAAGATACAGTAAAAGATTAAAAATGGAACACCTGTATAGGCCACTTACCATTGATGGAGCTTGCAGAACTGGAAGTTGCTGTGGGTGAGACAGTGACTGTGAGGGCCTAGGACATCACTGTATACTACTGTAGGCTTTATAAGTACTATACACTTATGCTACACTAAATTTATAAAAAATGAAAAACTTTCTTCAATAATACATTAACCTTAGCTTACTATAACTTTTTTACTTAATAAACTTCTTAGTTTGGCTTAGCTTTTTTATTCTTTTCTAATAGCTTAAAACAAATACATTGTACAGGTGTACAAAAATATTTTTATATCTTTATGAGCTTTTTTTCTATTTTTTTTTAACTTTTTAAAATTTTTTTGTCAAAAACGAATACACACACACACACACATTAGCCTAGGCCTATGCAGGGTCAGGATCATCAACATCTGTCTTCCACATTCACATCTTGTTCCACTAGAAGGTCATCGGGGCAGTACCACACATGGAGCAGTCATCTGTGATAACAATGCCTTCTGGAATATCTCCTGAGGGATCTGCCTGAGGCTGTTTTACAGTTAACTTTTTTTTTTTAATAGGTAGAAGGAGTACACTCTAAAATAACAATACAAAGTATTGTATAGTAAATAACATAAACTAGTAACCATTTATTATCAATTATTATGTACTATACATAATTGTATGTGCTGTACTTTTGTAATACTGGCATTAGAGTTTGTTTACACCAGCATCACCACAAACATGTGAATAATGCATTGTACCATGATGTTATGATGGCTCCGATGTCACAAGGCAATAGGAATGTTTCAGCTCCGTTATAATCTTATGGGGCCACTGTCATATTTATGGTCCATTGTTGACTGAATCACTGTTATGTGGCACATTATTAAAAGGCAAGTTAAAAAAACTGATGTAGAGCTCCATAGGGGTAAAAGTAGTTCATAACCCATCTTAGAGCCTGCTTTGGAGGAAGCTTATTACTCTATATCACTGGGAAATAACTAATTGAAAATGAAATAAATTATTTAAGCATCCATGAACTTGGAGATTTTAAGTATATTTGAAAATATTTTGACGTGCTGAAATTGGATGATGCAATGAAAGTTCAGAGAAACAGATGATCCTTGTCAAATCTAAAATGTCTAAAGAATTACATACTCCCTAACCTTATCTGGGAGGGTAACGGTTTATTGGCAGACAGAATTCCATGTGCTGGGAAGGTTGTGTTGAACTTGTATTGTAGTTTGTATTATGAATTGGTAGTTTGAAAACTTTCTCAAATATGAAATTATAATGTTAGATAGGCCATTTCGAATTATACCTCCCCTCTCAGGGACGTTGATATTCTCAGTCCTGTATTGATAACTACTAATAAAGGAGCCTCATACATTTTACAGTTTATGGTTCACATACTCTGGAAAGTTAAAGCTAAAGGGACTGGGTTCATCTTAAGGAGCCCCCTGACCTCACACCTGAGGAAACTGAGACTCTCGGAAGTCAGGTGGCTGGCCCAGGTCCCTCAGCTCATGAGTACTTGGTTGGGCGACAGTTTCTGTTTCTTGATTCCCATGTTAGTACTCTTTCTATTTTGTTGCCATTTTTATTGAAGTAATTTGTAAAAGACTTTTAGATGTTTAATAATGAGTCTTGTTTAAATTCACTTTCTGAGGTTATGATTAGTCATGGATAAACAAATATAATTTGGAGATCTATACAACTATCAAGCCTTGAATTCACATGACCCACCAAAGCATAGGCCTGGCTGAAGCAGTCAGACCCATGAGATCCTTACACAGTTGTCAACTGTCATTTTGTATGGGGGGATAATAATTTGTGTGGCTCCATAGCCTATAAAATAAAGTCTGGTAGTTTGTTTGCTACTTTGGCTTCTGTAACTGACTAGATTACTACATAAAAAACAGTGACCAGACACACACCTGTAATCCCAGCACTTTGGGAGGCCAAGGCAGGCGGATCGCTTGAGCTTAGGAGTTTGAGACCAGCCTAGTAACATAGTAAGACCCTGTCTCTACACAAAATAAAAAATGAGCCAGGTGTGGTGGCGTTTACCTGTAGTCCCAGCTATTCAGGAGGCTGAGGCAGGAGGATTGCTTGAGCCTGGTAGGTTGAGGCTGCAGTGAGCTCCGATGGTGCCACTGAACTCCAGCCTGGGTGACAGAGAAAGACCCTGTCTCAAAAAAAAAAAAAAAAAAAAAAGTGGTAAACAACACCCTAAAATTTAGGTGACTAAAAGTTGAGATACCAGTGTATGGGGAAGAAATACTGTGTTCAACTAATTCTACTGAAATTATTCTCAGAGACATCAGTACTCTCATTTACTTATTAATTAGTTTTACTTGTTATGAGCTGAGTGTCAAATGCAAGTAGTGTTGCTCTATTAGATAGAATGATATACTCATGATGATGATGAATGGCAGTTAGCATTTACTGAGTATTACGTTCTACATGCAGGGCTAAGCCCATCTTATATGTACTTTCACCTATCTTCACAGTAATGAGGTAGGTACTTGGTGTCTCTGACTTCAGGCCTTCTACCTGGTTCACTCTACTGCCTCCTTAATCTACACATATTGCCAAAGTCTGCTTTTACTTATGTGTATGTCATTGTTAGATAGCTGGAAATGCAGATGGGAAGCTTCAATTATGAAGGTAGTTTTTCTTCTGTGCTTTTAATCTGCCCTTAAATTTTTTAAAAAACTACTTCTTTTATTTCTAGGGAGGAAGGGACTCTGATTTTCTCACCTAGAGAGGGGTGCTAGGAGGTGGGATTGGGACCATGAGAATATACTACTTTATAAATGTCTTATGTTTGTTTTTGCCAGGTACCCAGGGTTATCACCAGCTTGTGACTTTTTATGTTACTTTGTCTGCTTAGGGGTGGTTTTGAATAGTGTGGATAGTGTTAATATGAATTCCAAATCCATATTACAAATTCTGAAAGAGAGTTTCACCTCAACCTCACTCCCACCCCTTCCACACACACACTGAAGGGCCTGTCTAAAACATAAGCTTATTTCTCTGGTGAGTGATTACAACTTTCACTGAAAATATATTCATAAAGAAGAGTCCTAGCCTCGTTTGAGATTCTCACTTCCAACACCCTGTGTTTTAAAGCCCCAAAACCTTGGATCTTATCCCTATTAAAATCAAATATATTCAATTGCTGAGATTGACAACCTCCTGTCCAGCATTGCTCCACACTCCTCAGATTAGGGCTGCTGCAGCCTCAGCTCACACACCCTGCCTGGTATGAGGGGGAACCACAGTTCCCTCTTCATATTGGAACCCCTGGAAATTTGCCTTTTTCTCATGAAAGCTTAGCTGTGGACGTAGAAGGATGCTTGTTTTACCTCGCATTTCTAAGTGTTTTAATAAGTGGAAGAATTTGCCAGAAACAAAAGACGCAGGAGAGACATTGTCCTTGCCTCTCGCCTCCTTCTGTTCCATACTACTTAGAAATGAGGTTTCAGGATTGTCCATGGAGTCATTTTCTAGGGGCTAAAGCAGTAGACCTTTTTCCACCCCTCTCTAAGGTACAGCTATCTATTCTAAGAGTTCGCATGAGTACTTATAGCTACTGCTTTTCTATACACTTTGTTTTCTATTTTATTTTTGTTTATAACAGGCCAGGAACCTACCTTGAAAACTGTATTAAATAAAATAGGAGATGAGATCATTGTAATAAATGAACTTCTAAATAAATTGGAATTGGAAATTCAGTATCAAGAACAAACCAACAATTCACTCAAGGTAATGTTTCTCTAATGAGGAAGCAGTAAAAAAGACAATACATACAAACTCCCTAATCATTAAGTAATTTTTAAGGATGCTTTGTTTATAATGTTTTTTGTTTATAAATTATTAATGGTACAGTATGCCATTTATGTTTTATTTTCCTAGTATAGTGGAATTTGGAGCTCCACAGCTGCTACTTTCTGCTGATGGCCAGTGGAATTGAACTTTACTAAAAAGGAGAGTTTGCTAATAATTCTTGGTAGCTTTAATTTAAACAATGATGTTCTAGTAGAGTGGTATGTAAAGAACACCTGCTTTGGGTGAGGAGATATGGATTCTTACCTTGGTGGTCCTTGGTACTCTCTGCCACCCTGAGAAAGCTATTTTACCTGTTGGGGTTTCAAGAACCTCATCTGAAAAAATAATGGATCATATTGAACTGTTTCTTAGCTCCCTTATATGTCTATATTTCTATATTTTTATAAAAGGTAATATAAGGGTTCTCAGGTAAAGAAAAACTTGAGCCTCATTCACATGCACATTTTATTCTAAACAAGCCTTCAAATTGAGTTCAGCTAATAAAAGTGCTGGTGCACTTCCTGAGGGGGAAATAATCTGTACCATAATTACCTCACATTGTTAGAGCTGGGGAATTGCTCAGTGGGATTGAACAAGGGACCTCCCTGACCCCATTCAGCCTTATAATCCTTAAAGTCTGTAAAGATTGTTCAGCTATAGGAATGGGCATGATTATGCCTATCACTCTAATAGTCAAAATGGAATTGGTATCCATGAATGTCATTCACCTCTTCAAGGAAAAGACATTATATAAATTCAAAACAGAAACCAATACCGGCATTTCAGTTCTAACCTGCCCAAGAATGTCCAGGGTTAGGTGTGGGCCTAGAGAATGCTCAACTCAGAACTGAAGGCTATTTGGAATTTCTGTTCACATTGTGATTGGGAGCCAGATGGCGGGAATCCAAAGGCACAAAATATTTTCCTTATTAAAATGTGTATGAGTTCATAGCCTCAAGTTCTAGTAAAAGTTAGAGACCAAAACACCCCAGCTTTCAAGTAGAAATTTTCATTAAGCTGGCATGTAGGTAGCCCACAGTGGAAGTCATCCTAAAGCAGCATCTCATGCTTGCCAGCTGGGTATATTACCATGCTGTGATAATATGGTTGCTGTTACACAGGTAACACTGGGGAGCATTTGGTAAGCCAACAAACGCAATTTATGAGAATGAAAAACATAAGTTCTTTATATATTTCTTAGTTATCTCCCAAGATTAAAGTATTTGAGAAAGACTTAACTTTAGTCCTGCTTTGTAATTGCAATGTGATTATAGTGATTGTTCCCTGAAAAAAATCCAGTAGAGAAAAATATTACCACCATCCAAAAACAGCTCTAGAAACCAATTTTTTATTGCTGGATTCATTGCTTTTTCACTTCATTCTGCATTTTCGGTACTCCAGTCAATGTGGTTTTTTTTTTTTTTTTTTTTTGAGACGAGCCTTTCTCTGTCGCCCAGGCTGGAGTGCAGTGGCGCGATCTCAGCTCACTGCAGCCTCCTCCTCCCAGGTTCAAGCAGTTCTCCCCCCTCAGCCTCCTGAGTAGCTGGGACTATAGGCGCGTGCCACCACGCCCGGCTAAATTTTTGTATTTTTAGTAGAGATGGGGTTTCACAGTGTTAGTGGGGATGGTCTCGATCTCCTGACCTCATGATCCACCCGCCTTAGCCTCCCAAGGTGCTGGGATTACAGGCATGAGCCACCGCGTCCAGCCACAGTCACTGTGATTATGGTTCACTGTTTTCCCTGCTCTTTAGAATATCTTAAAACACACATGGGGAGGACAGAGACTTATTTGTGAGCACTTTTAAATTTTAGGAACTCTGTGAATCTCTTGAAGAAGATTACAAAGACATAGAACATCTTAAAGAAAACGTTCCTTCCCATTTGCCTCAAGTAACAGTAACCCAGAGCTGGTAAGTGTATTTATAATTATTCTTGCTATCTGGATTTATAAACCCATGAAAACAAGTTCTTCAAAGCCTTTTGTTCTTTCATATACTTGCAGTTTTGTCAGCGATGATCTAGTTTTTTGTCACCTATACTAAAAACAGTATTTCCATGTTCACCAGTTTTCTTATCTTGGTGTCTCTGAGGAAAATCTAACACTTCTTTCCCAGTTTGCCAAGGGCAAGTCTCTCTAGCCTCTCTTTTTTCACTCATTTCTTTCCCTGAGAGCAGTTTGTCAACTGACGTTTGTTCCTTGACATTTTAGGCAGGTTAATTTTTTGTTATGAGAATAGGACATTGAGTAGTGTTCTTGATCTCTGCCTACTAGATTCTGGTAGCATCCCTCCATCCCACCCATTCACGACAATGAAAAATGTCTCCAGACATTGCCAAATGCCTCTGAGGGCAAAATCTTCCCCGACCATTGAGAACCACTGCCTTTGGGTAAAAATAAGCTTAAGGAAGTTACCATTTTAAAAATAGCTAAAGAGGCTGGGCACAGTGGCTCACGCCTATAATCCTAGCATTTTGGGAAGCCAAGGCAGGCAGATTGCTTGAGCCCAGGAGTTTGAGACTAGCCTGGGCAACATGGTGAAACCCCATCTCTGCTAAAAATACAAAAAATTAGCCAGACACAGTGGCACACCCCTGTAGTCCCAGCTACTCAGGGAGCTGAGGCGGGAGGATTGCTTGAGTCTGGCAGGTCAAGGCTGCGGTGAGCCCTGATGGTGCTACTGCACTCCAGGCTGGGCGACAGAGTAAGACCCTGCCTCAAAATAAATAAATAAATAAAAGCCAAAGGAACAATAAGCTTAGCTCTTTTTTCCCCTCAAATGTCCATCCTCTCTCTCTTCCCCCTTACAAGGTGTGTCTGTGCTTCTGCTTTTTCCCCGAGGCCCTAACACCTGGCTTTTGGCTGTCATTGCCACCACACCTAGGGTGGTTGAAGGTCATGAAGAGGTCAAAAATCCCTCGTCAGCCCTGGTTCTACTTCTAAGATTTCATTTTGCATACCACCTTTTTGTTTTTGAAATTCTGTTTTCTGCCCTGCCACTGTGCTTTCTTAGTTGTCAGCCCACTTCTCTGACTTGGCTGCCTCCTTTTTCTCTCCCCTTTTTTAAATTATAGATCTCTCCTACCTGCTTTACTCATTCTTACCCAACTCCACTGTTAATGCTCTCAAATGTCCAGCTCTAGCCTTGATATGACATCTAGTTCCAGCGATTTAATGGCCTGCTATTTTCTCCTCAAATTTTCCATCTTGAAGACCTGGCTCTCTTGTTTCTCTTGTTCCCCACATATCCTCCCATCACCTCGGTGAGGACTTGGCATCTTTATCCTGTCTTGCTCTTTCTCAGCCATTACCTGTCATTGGACATCCAGTAAGAATTTGATCAGGGGAATAGGAGGAATTTTCTTCTAAGCTGACTATGGCCTAGCCTCAACTCTCAGGGATAGGTGAGAGCAGAACCTTTCTGTAGTTGAAAATGGTTATTTTCAGCTGATAAACACAGCAGGGCATAAGGGAGCCAATCAGGTGCTTCCTCAACACATGGTCAAGACAAACAAGTACAGGTACGATTCAGCCAGTCTCACAGTGGAATCTCATATGTTAGGATTCACAGAAGGATTATCATGCATTGGGCATCTTTATCTTGACAGCGTGCAGCGTGGCCGAGTCACACCACCTCAGTGAGGCTGGTTGCCATCTGTGTCTGGCATTTGACTGTCATCTTGGGATCTTGCTTCCTGCCTTTCTGGGGATTCCCTTGGCTTGCTCCTGAGGCCATCCTCCCACTCATAATTCCAGGGCTTTGCTTAACTTCTAAGCTTTATATTATGTTACATTTCTTGTTACCTTTTTATTATACAAATAATACATGTTGCTAGAAAGTGTTTGTTGTCAGAAAATAAAACTCATCTGTAATTTACCATTCAGATAAGATAGGGTATAGCTTTCCAGATTTTACTTAACTACACATAATAACAGGTATAAGAAATATTACAGGTATTTCTTATACTTGTTATTATGTGTAGTTATAGCAGCCCCCTACTGTTTCTTATATCTGGTGTCGTCTTTCCTATGTCTTGACTTGCTGCTGGCAACATCCCTGGCAGTTAAGGAACCTAGAAGCTATAGTGTGTTTCTAGACTTTGTTGCTAGTGGGACAGGAGCTATATTAGTCGGCTTCTCACTCGCTGTAAAAATTGGGCAGATTGAATCCAGGGGTGACCCATGATCATTGCTGGCAACTAAAATGACTCCGCAATACACAGGGACTGACATGAGCAACCATCAGGATAAATTAGAATAAATAGAAGTCTAAGATAACTGATGTTTCCAGATTCAGAGTTAGGGACGTCAGGAAGACAAGCTGTTAAGGGGTTAGAACAATGAGATCACATGGACACAGGAAGGGGAATATCACACTCTGGGGACTGTGGTGGGGTCGGGGGAGGGGGGAGGGATAGCATTGGGAGATATACCTAATGCTAGATGACACGTTAGTGGGTGCAGCGCACCAGCATGGCACATGTATACATATGTAACTAACCTGCACAATGTGCACATGTACCCTAAAACTTAGAGTATAATAAAAAAAAAAAAATTAAAAAAAAAAAAAAAAAAAGGAAAAAAAAAAAAAAGAGAAGCTATTAAGCCGTAAAGCTGTTAACTTACTGACTTTGAGGAGCTGGTGGGACAACTGATGAAGATATCATGTTACACGTAAATAAATGTAGCTATATTACTGAAGATTTGGGAACTTAATTTTTCAACATTTCCTTCACCGTTTAATGTTCATGAACAATAGACATAGGGATAGAAAAAAATGTTGGCAATAAGATTATAACAGGATGAGTTACGTATTTAATATTATTTTCAGTTGGGAAAACTGTCAGTATGCTGCTTATTTCTGAAAATTGCCTGTATGTATGTACATCTGTATTCTGTAGTGTTAAGGGATCAGATCTTGATCCTGAAGAACCAATCAAAGTTGAAGAACCTGAACCCGTAAAGAAGCCTCCCAAAGAGCAAAGAAGTATTAAGGAAATGCCATTTATAACTTGTGATGAGTTCAATGGTGTTCCTTCGTAAGTATTTAAGATAAATAATGTTCAACCCCTTAATAAACATAAATGATCGTTTAAATAATAAAGCTTAATTATATTAATTGTAATATGCTATGTTCAAATATTGATCTTTTAAAAAAGTTTCACATTATACTATGAAAATGCAGTAAATTTTTTGAAGATTTTTGTTGTAAAACCCCTTCATAGAGAGATCTAGAGATGGATCAATTCATTGCTTAAGTCCTCTGTTGGACCTTTTTGTGTTACAGATTTACCAATCATATTATAGAAGTAGCCTCAGTTTTGTGGTAATTTTAAGGAAATCGAGTGTGTTGTGTAGAATTGAGAATGAGAATGGACAGTGTTGTGTTTGGTTTCCGTTTGTGCATTGCACCCCGCACTTGTTTGAGCCTGTGCTATATTCCAGGCCCTGGGTCACTCAGAATAGAGGAATGAATAAGACAAAATGCTTCCCCCAAAGAGGGGGGCGGGTCTCCCTTGCCTTTTACATATGGCAATAATGGGGAACCAATGATGAAAATCGACATTTTTAAACTCATAATTCCAGGGCTTTGCTAAACTTCTAAGCTTCATGTTATGTTACATTTCTTGTTACCTTTTTATTATACGAATAATACATGTTACTAGAAAGTGTTTGTTGTCAGAAAGTAAAACTCATCTGTAATTCTACCATTAGATAAGATAGGGTATAGCTTTCCAGATTTTATTTGACTATACATATGTAACAGGTATTTCTTATACCTGTTATTATAGCAATGTAGTTATACTGTAAATACAACTTACTATCCTTTTATTGTGATAATTTTTCTATCATTAATAGTCATATAATATATAGCTATCCAATAACTTGTAGCATTTCCTCATTACATATTTGGGTTGACTTTATTGTTATAAATAATGGTACAATGAAATATCTTTTAGACAAGGCTGTTTTGCAATTTTTTTATTTCCTTGGGATAGTCTTAGGAGGAGAGTCCCTGAGGCAAAGATCATGATTATTTTGCTTCTAGAGAGTTTTTCATACCAGTTCATTTTGGTTGTTGTTTTATTTAATAAAGTATATTTCTTAGAACCTTTGTTAGATTTACAGAAAAATTGAGCAGATAGTACAGTGTTCTCATACCGCTTCTCCCCTGCACACAGTTTTCCCTAGTAATAGAGCATTGGTATGACATATCTGTTACAGTTGTCAAACCAATATTGATACATTACTATTAACTACCATCCTTAGTCTATGTTAGGATTTATTCTGTGTTGTACCATCTATGGGTTTTGACAAACGTATAATGTCATGTGTCTACCATTACGGTATCATACAGAAGAATTTCACTATCCTAAAAAGTTTCACTGTCCTAAAAGTGCCTTGTATCCCACCTCTTTCTATCTCCCACTGAACCCCAGAATGTTATATGGTTAGAGTCATACAGTATGTAGCCTTCTCTGACTGGCTTCTTTTACTTAGAAATAAGGATTTATGATCCCTTGTACCTTTTTGTGGTTTGATAGCTCATTTCTTTTTAACACTAAATAGTACTCCATTGTATGGATGTATTGGTTTGTTTATTCATTCACCTATTGAAGCAATCTTAGTTCCTTCCAGTTTGGTGCAACTATGAATAAAGCGCTAAAAACGTTCATGTGCAGGTTTCGTGTAGACATAAGTTTTCAACTCATTTGGGTAAATACTTAGGAGTGTAACTGCTGAGTCACGTAAGAGTATGTTCAGTTTTGTAAAAACCTGCCAATGGCTATACCATTTTGCATTCCCACCAGCAATGACAGAACATTCCTCTTGCTCCACATACTCTTTATCATTTGGTATTGTCAGTGTTCTGGATTTTAGCCACTCTAATAGGTGTATAGTGGTATCTAATTATTTTACTTTACAATTCCCTAGTGACATTTGACATTGAGCATCTTTTCAGCAAGTACTGCAGTCCTCTGCTCTACCAGCTGAGCTATCGAAGGAAGCACTGAGCATCTTTTCATATTGATATACTTATTTTCCATTTGCATATCTTCTTTGATGAGATATCTGTTCAGGTCTTGAGCCTGTTTTTAAAGTGGGTTGTTTGTTTTCTTGTCATTGAATTTTAAGAGTTCTTTGCATATCTTTCTTCCTCTCCTCTAGTAGTCTCATTACCTGTATGTTATACTTTTTTTGATTGCCTCACAGTTCTTGGGTTTTCTGTTCTTTTTTGTATTTCTCTTTGCATTTTAGTTTGGGAAGTATCTATTGACGTTATCTATTGATGTATCTTCAAGTTCGCTGATTCTTTCTTTAGCTGAGTCTAGTCTGCTGATGGAGCCCATCAAAGGCATTCTTCATTTCTGTTAGAGTTCTTTATTTCTAGCATTTCCTTTTGATTCTTCTGTAGAATTTCCATCTCTGCTTTGTCTGTCTATTCTTGCATTTTATCCTTTTTCCATTAGAGTCCTTAGCATATTAAACATAGTTATTTGAGTTAGTGGTTTGATACTTCCAAAATCTCTGTCATTTCTCAATCTGCTTCTGATGCTTGTGATGCTCTCAGCCTGTATTTTTATCTTATGCCTAGTAATTTTTGTTAAAAGCTGGACAAGATGTGTCTGGATAATAGGAACTGAAGTAAATAGGCTTTTAGTGTGAGATTTTATGTTGATACGTCTAGGAGCTGGGCTATGTTTAATGGTTGCTACGGTTGTAAATGTCAGAAGCTTCAATTTCTTCTAGTTCCCATTTCTTTTGTTTGTTTTGATTTGTTTTGTTTTTGAGATGGAGTCTTGCTCTGTCGCCCAGGCTGGAGTGCATTGGCACGATCTCAGCTCACTGCAAGCTCCGCCTCCCAGGTTCACGCCATTCTCCTGCCTCAGCCTCCAGAGTAGCTAGGACTACAGGCGCCCGCCGCCACCATGCCAGGCTAATTTTTTGTATTTTTAGTAGAGACGGGGTTTCACCATGTTAGCCAGGATGGTCTCCATCTCCTGACCTCGTGATCCACCCGCCTCAGCCTCCCAAAGTGCTGGGATTACAGGCATGAGCCACTGTGCCTGGCCCTAGTTCCCATTTCTTTTGTCTCCTCTGTTGTCTTTGGGTTTCCTTAGAAATTTTTTCTTAATAGATTCTGTGTCTTGTAGCTTGCTAAGTGTTAGTTCACTAATACGTTCCTGTAACCTTGTTGTAGTGGTGGTAAGGTGTTGGAGAGGAGAAGCATTCTATAATCTTATGATTAAATCTCAGGCTTTTTAGGGGTACTGCATCTCTGGCCTGTGACCTTCTAAGGTGTTTCTTAGCTAGACGGGGCTGAAATCATCTAACTACCCTTCCCCTAGGTCAGATAAGGTTCTGGTCAAGTAGTTTTCCTTGAGGGCAGGTCTTTGTTTTGGATAACAGAACTGCTCTACTTTTCCTTGGCCTATTTCAAAATAATTACTTTTTCCTTCCTCTTGCTGATGCTCAAGAGAATTTTTCTCTGATCTTCATTTTAAAAACTTGGGGGGAAGGCAGGGGTGGTTCCTGGAAGTAAAACTCATGGAAGTATGGGGGGGCTCCCTAAACTGGATCCCCAGGAGTTTTTAACTCTCAAGCTAGTTCAAACTGAGCCTTAGCAGTTTGTCCGTTACTATTTAAATGTTCCTACAGTTACTCACTCCAGTGGCTTCTGTCCCTAGGAAGCTGTCATTCTCTGCATTTGTTTGTCTCTCCTGTTTTGGGGGCAGTGTTTGGCCCTGTGACCTCAATTCTCTGAAAAGAGTTACCAGCTTTCAGTTTGCTCCTGTTGTGAGGATGGGAGTGACAGTTTCCAAGCTCTTGACACGTCAGAGTGCTACATACCAGTTTTTACTCCTGTTGGTAGTGTGTGAGAAAGCCCAACCTAATCTCACACCTGCTAGTGTTACCTCCTACTTAAAAATTGCTACCAATTAGCCACTTGAAAAATACCTGGCTCTTTCACAACTCCAAGACTAGTGATGACGTTGACATTGCTCTTTAGTCTTTTTCTGGGGGGGAGAGGGTCATTTTGTCATTTCCTTTACCTTTCTTTTTTTTTTTTTTTTTTTTTTTTTACTTTTTTTGTTTTTGAGACAGTCTCACTCTGTCCCACAGGCTGGAGTGCAGTGGCATGATCTCGGCTCACTGCAACCTCTGCCTCCTGGGCTCAAGCAATTCTCATGGTTCAGCCTCCCAAGTAGCTGGGACCACAGGCGTGTGCCACCACACCCAGCTAATTTTTCTACTTTTAGTAGAGATGGGGTTTCAGCCATGTTGGCCAGGCTGGTCTCAAACTCCTGACCTCAAGTGATCCACCTGCCTCGGCCTCCCAAAGTGCTGAGATTACAGGTGTGAGCCACCACACTAGCAGTCATTTCCTTTATTGACAGCTTTATTTTCATGAAAACTGTTTGATGCTCTGATGCTATTCAGCTTTGATCTTTGTTATTGTTGCTCATTGGCTGAGCTAATGTGAAGAGCTAATGTGGCTGTGAGGAACAGTGGAGTAGAGGATTTTTGGAAAATGCTTCCATAAAGAGCTATTGGAAGGAAATTAGAATGGTCATGGTAGAGTATTCATTTTTCAACTAGGGGTTATTTAATGAATGAGAAATGAAGTTAGAAGATTAGGGTGAAAAAATCATGTTTTCCAAGCATAGAGTTTTTATTTACTTTAAAACAAATGGTGCTGAGAGTAGAGTTAAAGTGGAAAACATTGAAGGAGATTAGGGATGACTATTGAGGAAATCAAGGTGGTAGTTGAGAAGATTTGAAGGAATACATAAGTGCATTGTGGAGAGCTGGGGTATAAGAGTTTGTAGAAATTGTGGTTAGAAAAAACAGGACAGCAAAAATGAATTTAGAAAAGAGAGGAATAATGAAAATGAGTGTTTTTTTGGAAATATGAACATTTTCTTTTAAATAAACTTCCATATCATTGTATCAAGGAAGTTTTGACTAGAAAGCTGCTACTTTGAATAGAAATGAAGGACAGAGCTTAACCTACTGAACTTACAATTTGTTGAAGAGACAAATTGAAGCAGATCATCAAGTTTTGTTTTTGGTGTGTTCAAAACATTCAAAATTGAGAGTCTCCTGTTTTTATATTGTAAGACTCCATGGTGACTGGGAGGACGGACAAGAGGGAGGTTGAAGAGTAGAATTCAGAGTGAAAGAGAGTGCTCTAAGGGAACTTGAGCTAGGGCATAGAAAACATCATGGCTATGCTTTGGTTCTCCTCTGCCCAGGCAGCTTCCAGTCACTCACTCCTATATATCCCCTACCCCATCAGTTCTCCTTTGTCTTAATTTTCATTGTCAACTTTGTTGTGGTCTTCTTTGTTGCCCTTCATCTTCCCTTCCTCCTCCTCCTTTTTTTCTCTTTCTTTCTCTGAACAAGTAATAGTTTTTGTATAGCACTAGAGTGCTATAAGTTGTATAATTTATTAATATTTAAGTTTTTCCTTTGCTCACATTTAAAACTGTTTAAATAAACTGATATGTTGCAGTTAATCAGTCCATTTGAATCAGAATTTGAGAGCTTATTTAAAATTATAATATCAGTTCTCCATAGGTAAACAATAGAGGTTAATAATTAGAGAAGGTAAGCACCAATATGTTGTCATCTCTATTTAATTATTCAGCTGTCTGGTTTATTTGGAAGTTGATATAAGATTGTTTTTATAAAGGGTACTGTAGTTTTACTGTTGTACAAAGTCATCATACTTATGTTTTTCAAGGAAAGTAATTTTGTATGATGATTCTTTAAAACAATAATTAGCCATATACTTTTTTACAGGTACATGAAATCCCGCTTAACCTATAATCAAATTAATGATGTTATTAAAGAAATCAACAAGGCAGTAATTAGTAAATATAAAATCCTACATCAGCCAAAAAAGTCTATGAATTCTGTGACCAGAAATCTCTATCACAGATTTATTGATGAAGAAACGAAGGATACCAAAGGTAAAATGGCAGCATATATGTGTGTACATGTGAACTGTTCAGAGTATAACTAAATCACGAGAAATGTAGCTAGTTCTAGAAAATTCTAAATCTAGAGTGTTAATTCCCAACCAGGAGCAGTTATCCTACCAGGAGACATTTTACCATGTCTGGAGACATTTTTGGTTGTTACAGCTGGGTGCTCCTGGCATCTAGTAGGTAGAGGCCAGGGATGCTGCTATAACAGCCGGCAGTGCACAGGATAGCACCCACAAAATAAATTCTCTGGCTCACAGTGTCTGTAGTGCTGAGCCTGAGAAACATTGCTTTAGAGTCTATTGTGAAACTATGCCCAATGTTTTAGGAAATTGAATAGTAATGATAATAGCTAGTCCTGTTGATATAGCTACTTACTGTATGGCAGAGAGTGTGCCAAGAGCTTCAATCCTTACAACACCCGTATCACTTACTGTTATTACTCCCAATTTGTAGACTAGGCAAAGAGAGCTTAACTTACTTGTCCAAGGTCATCCAGTTAAATGATAACACTGTTACGGGTTTTATTCTTATAACCACTATGTCACATTGCCTCTTGAAAAGTGAATTGTTCAAGCGATACCAACAGATAGCTAGTGACCTAATAAATATCATGCATGCAACTTCTGTTGATAGAATAATTATTATTTTAGCAAGAATACTAGTTCTTGGTTTTATTGGATACTAACAGTAAAAACGACTAATACCATTCATATTCACAACTTAATGTATTAAAGACTCTTTTGCAAGTTGGCCTTATAAAAATTAGCACTAATATCTTTATTTTTAGGTCGTTATTTTATAGTGGAAGCTGACATAAAGGAGTTCACAACTTTGAAAGCTGACAAGAAGTTTCACGTGTTACTGAATATTTTACGACACTGCCGGAGGCTATCAGAGGTCCGAGGGGGAGGACTTACTCGTTATGTTATAACCTGAGTCCCTTGTGAACTTTTGAACATACCAACAGGGTATAGAGTATAGAGGCTATTTCTATAATTTTCTTATATATAATTTTTTTAACTTTTAATCTTTTTTGTTTCCTTTTTTTTTTTTTTGAGACAGGATCTTGCTTTGTCACCCAGGGGCTTGCTTTGTCACGCAGGCTAGAGTGCAGTGGCGCAAACATGGCTCACTGCAGCCTCAACCTCCCAGGCTCAAGTGATCCTCCCACCTCAGCCCCCTGAATGGCTGGGACTACAAGCGTGCGCCACCATGCCTGGCTAATTTTTGTATTTTTTGGAGAGATGGGGTTTCACCATGTTGCCTAGGCTGGTCTTGAGCTCCTGAGCTCAAACAATCCACCCTCCTCAGCCTCCCAAAGTGCTGGGATTACAGGCTTGAGCCACCACACCTGACCTATTCTTGTTTCTTATAAAAATAAAACTTTTTTGGATAAAGCTTATTTCTTGTTTTTTTCTTTTTCTTTTTTTTTTTTTTTGAGACAGTCTCGCTCTTTCACCCAGGCCGGACTGCAGCGGCGCTATCTCGGCTCACTGCAAACTCTGCCTCCCAGGTTCACGCCATCCTCCTGCCTCAGCCTCCTGAGTAGCTGGGACTACAGGCACCTGCCACCACGCCCAGCTAATTTTTTGTATTTTTAGTAGAGATGGGGTTTCACCGTGTTAGCCAGGATGGTCTCGATCTCCTGACCTCATGATCCGCCCACCTCGGCCTCCCAAAGTGCTGGGATTACAGGCGTGAGCCACCGCGCCCGGCCAACTTATATATTTTCAAGATTCACCTCCTCTCACCAAATATTTAACTACCTGCTGAATACGCCTCTGTACTAGGCACATAATGGAACTAAAAAATGCTCATGTCCAGTTTTTGTGTTGAGTGAACAATGCTGCAGACCCTAATAAGATTGGGTACAGATCGGCATGCGCCTGTAGTCCCAGCTACTCAGGAGAATTGCTTGAACCTAGGAGGTGGAGGTTGCAGTGAGCCGAGATCGTGCCACTGCACTCCAGTCTGGGCAACAGAGCGAGACTCCATCTCAGAAAAAAAGAAAAAAAGACTGGGTACAGATGTGATATTGGAAGAAAAAGATCAAGCTGATGAGGTTAGGATACCCAGGCCCTTTGGACTTAAAGATCACTAGTGTCTAAATTCCATCGATGGCATTTCAGTCTATAGGTAAACTTCCTGGAAGCTGGATTTGGAGACAGTTTATCATCTGATTATTGGGCTTTCGTATAGGTCCTTAGGGAGCAGCTTACCTGAAATGCATTTAGTGTACACCAGTCTGTAAACTTCAACCTGTAATGAAAGTGTAATAAATGTACATTGAGTTGATGTGATAATGTGATATAATAAGAAATATATATTTGATCTTCCTATCTAGTTCCTTGTTCAGAGCTCCTAAAACCCTTGTAATTTCCAAAGTGATGGAGTACATCTTTTGTTCTAGTATTTGGTCTTTGACCCCAGTTCCTGACACAAAGCTCCTAAATTCCTTTAAATTTCCCAGTGATAGGAGAATTTTTTGTTCTAATGAGGTCACTCTTGATGGGCACCTGGATAACTCAGGATGGGGGCTGCTCACAAAGACCACATCATGATTGGAAGTTTCAAACTTTCAGTCTCCCACCTCCAGAGAGGGGAGAGGGGCTGGAGATTTGTGTCAATAATCCATCAGGCCTATGTCAACAAGACATAATCCGTTAACTATGGAGTTCAGGGAGCTTCAGGGTTGGCAAACATTTTGATGTGCCAGGAAGGTGACGCACTCCAGCTTTATGAAGTCAGCAAGTCCTGTGCTCAGGATGCTTCTGGACCTTGCCCCAGGTACCCCTTCATGTGGCTGTTGTTCATCTGTATCCTTTGTAGTAGCCTTAAAATAAACTGTTAAACACAAGTAAAGCATTTCCCTGAGTTCTGTATTGCCGTATCAAATTATCAAACCTGAGGAGGGGGTTGTGGGAACCCCCATGTGTAGCCATGTTGGACAGAAGTATGGGCAACCTGGGGACCTGCTAGTTGTGACTGGTGTTTGAAGTTGGGGATGGTTTTATGGGACTGAGCCCTTAAATCTGTGGGGTCTGCATCAACTCTAGGTATTTAGTGTCAGAATTCAATTAAATATAGGATACTCTGTTGGTGTCTAGAGAATTGGAAAATTGGTTGGGATGGGGAAAAAAACTCCACACATTTGGTGTCAGAAATATTATGTGAATGTAGTATAGAAGAAAACAGGCTTTTCCCTTGTTGGTGAAAAACATGATAAAATAATGTGTGGGTAGGTTGATAATAGTCAAGAAAAATGGGTAATGGGATTGTAAGAACTTAGCCATGTTTCTCTCAGGCACCTGGGGAGACTGGTCTGTCTATGTCTGTGCCATCTGCTTGGCAGGCTTGTCCCTGTAGCAGAGAAAAAATGTGTCTCACCAAGCCTGTGGCCTGGTTAACACCATCACTGTGATGAACACACAGACGCTGCATATTTACTGTTATCCTTTTGTTTTCCTTAATTTAAATACAGGCATGTTTAATTTTTCATGCCTCAACTTAAGTGAAAATAATGGCATTATTCTTTATTTTAAGTATTGTTTGATTTTTGATATGGTTTGGCTGTGCCCCTACCCAAATCTCACCTTGAATTGTAATAATCCCTATGTGTCAAGGGCAGGGCCAGGTGGAGATAATTGAATCACGGGGGTGGTTTTCCCCATGCTGTTCTCATGGTGTAATTAATGAGTCTCACGCGATCTGATAGTTTTATAAATGGGACTTCCCCTGCACAAGCTCTCTTGCCTGCTGCCATGTAAGACATGACTTGGCTCCTCATTTGCCTTCCGCCATGATTGTGAGGTCTCCCCAGCCATGAGGAACTGTGAGTCCATTAAACCTCTTTCCTTTATAAATTACCTATTCTTGGGTATGTCTTTATTAGCAGTGTGAGAACAGACTAATACAATTTTTCTTTTTCTCTTCTTCTCCTCCTTTTCCTCCTTCTCTTTCTTCTCCTCCTCCTTCTCTTCCTTTTCCTTCTCCCTCTCCTCTTCCTCCTTCTTCCCCTTCTCCTCCTCCTCCTCCTTCTTCTTCTTCGTCTTTGTCTTCTTCTTTGTCTTTATCTTCTTCTTCTTGCCAGAATCTCACTCTGATGTCCAGGCTGGAGTACAGTGGTGTGATATTGGTTCACTGCCTCCACCTCCCAGGTTGAAGCCATCCTCTCACATCAGCCTCCCAAACAGGTGCATGCCACCATGCCTGGCTTTTTTTTTTATTTTGTATTTTTTGTAGAGACAGAGTCTTGCTATGTTGCCCAGGCTAGTCTTGAACTCCCGGGCTAAAGCAATCACCCTCGGCCTCCCAAAGTGTCGGGATTATAGGCGTGAGCCACTGCACCCAGCCCATAGATGGTTTTAATAAGGATTCTGTGGTTATAAGAGTGTGAGATGTGCTTAGTTAAGTAAAGATAAGCAGATTTTATTATTTCATGACTTCTGAAGTCCTTCATCTTACCCATTTATTTTCTAAATCTCCAACAGAGACAGGCTGTGTAGTGGAGCACACATTCTACTTGTGGAGAGTTACTTCCATTACCTCTTTCGTTATTTCTGAGGAATACGTATTCATATCTCTGGGCATACTAATGCTCCATGAAATATGTTTTGGAAACATAAAGCAATCTGTTTTGCTTTATGACGTAAAGCAACCTGACATAAAGCAATCTGTTTTGAAACCCCACTCGTTTTTATTAATGAAATGTCATTACACAATCTTATTAGTAAATATATGTATGTAAAAGACATTTATTGAGGCAGTGTAATGGACTTTGGGGTGAGAAGGCTAACCAGAGTTCAAATCCTGGTTATGCTACTGACACGCAGTACAAGCTTCAGTTAGTTAATCTCTTAGAACCACAGTCTTCTTATCTTCTGTAACAAGATAATCACGGCAGTCACCTGGTTGCCCTTGCTGACTCCACTTGGGGGTAGGAGGTGAGAGAAGTACTGGTGAAACTTGAGAGTGCAATTAAAGGGAGATGGATATCCTAAAAACCAGCCCAATTGAGGCAGGAAAATAGGGTCTGGAGGCAAGGAACATAAGGCTGATTCACACTTCAGCTATGACAGGAAATATCCTCTCCATAGGGCGTAGGCCAAGTAAATGATTTTATCACTTCATCCTCTTCATTTACATAGGGCATACCCCAAGTAGAGGGTATGTAAACTCCCCAGAATTCTGTTACGGGGCCTTTGAGTCCCTATGCTCAGACCTGCTCCCACACTGTGGAGTGTACTTTCATTTTCAATAAAACTATTCCTTCCTTGCTTTGTGCATTTTGTCCAATTCTTTGTTCAAGATGCCAAGAACCTGGACACCCTCCACCATTAACACGATGCCTCTTCAGCCATCAAGCTTGATACAGTGCCCAGTGACAGTGACACTACAGTGTGATACAGAGGAGAGGAGAGAGGGGAGCTAGTACAAGGACAGTCTGGGCCGGGCGGGGTGGCTCACGCCTGTAATCCCAGCACTTTGGGAGGCCAAGGTGGGCGGATCACCTGAGGTTGGGAGTTCGAGACCAGCCTGACCAACATGGAGAAACCCCGTCTCTACTAAAAAAAAATACAAAAAATTAGCCGGGCGTGGTGGCGCATGCCTGTAATCCCAGCTACTCGGGAGGCTGAGGCAGGAGAATCACTTGAACCTGGGAGGCAGAGGTTGCAATGAGCAGAGATTGCACCATTGCACTCCAGCCTGGGAGACAAGAACGAAACTCTGCCTCAAAAGAAAAAAAAAAAAAAAAAAGGACAGTCTGCATCCCTTTGGCAGGGCAAGTTCCTGCCAGATGTCTGAACAGCACATGGACTTCTCTGCTTAAAGCGCCTTGCTATGGATCCTGTGGACTGGTTTAAACATACTGCCAACCTCCTCCAGGAAGACTGCCTGTTGGGCAAGGGTCCCCTGGGTGTAAGCTGATATGGAAGGGATAAGACGGGGTTTCTTGCCTCAGGGGCTGTGCAAGGGAGGCCGCTGCTTAGAGGGAAGGAGAGGGCTCAAACCTGCTGTTGAGGTAGAGATTTCCTGAAAGAAAAGATGGTAGCAATCACTTCATGAATAGTCACTATGTTCCCAGAAGGTCTGAGTCCTAAGGACCTTCCTCTGGAGCCTCAGTAAATTTACTTAATCTAAATGGGTCCAGGTGCTGGGGTAATTACCCTTATCTTGTCTCCTGCTAAATTAGAGGTTTGGGGAGTTCCTTCACACCCCCAATAAACTTGTTTGTGGAGGCCAGGGGAGTTTCTTCAGACCCACAGTAAAACTTATTTAATCCTAAATGTGTCCTATTAAGAATTGCTTCGTTATTTTGTCATGCTTTAAGGCCCAGGAAAGGCCAAGGCAAAACTCTTGGTGGGCTTTTGTTACATCCCAGCCTTTGTATAAGAGCACTAGCTTTTAATATTCAACTTAACCACTCAGTACTGAAACAGTTATTATGGAGGCCTGCATTAGTGAGACCTGGCCTGCCACAACTTAGGGAGAAAAGATTTTTTTGTCTTTCTACATTTTGATTATGATGTATTTGGATGTTGATGGTCTTGTATTTGTCCTACTTGGAGTTCTCTGAGCTTCTTGATACACGAATTTATGGTTTTTAATTAAATTTTGGAAGTTTTCAGCTATTTCTTTTAATTTGTGTGTGTGTGCGCGTGCTCCTTTTCAGAGGAGGTGCCAGTTGGGCTTCCTGGGTCGACTTGGGGCTCAGAAAGCTGTGAAACTCACTCATTTCCTGCATCAGGACTTACTTTGGTCCTGGATGAATAATACTGAAGATATATGCTTAAAATATTCCTAATATCAGAATTTGTGCCTGTGTTTTCTTCCCCAAGAAAGCTATAAACAGCGAAAATTTTGATGTAAGCTTCCCTGTGTCCTCTCTCCCTCTCTCCCTTCCCCCTCCCCTGAAACTAAAAGGAATGTTAAAAGCCTGTTTTTCTGTGACCCACAGAGGCAGACCGTATCTATGCTCCCAATTCCAATTCCTTTTAAACACAATTTGTAAACTCCCGTGAGATCCTGTCTCTTTTGCCATGTCGCTGCAAGGTCATAAAGTAGATAAAACTTAAGTTACAATTCCAGTTTTCCTCAAGATCTGAGACGTGTTGTCTTTGTTTCTCGCTCTGGTAACATCTTCCTGCGGCACGTATTTCCCGCCTGAAGAGTTTAAAAGGTGATCGAAAAATCTAACACTGGCTACCCGCTTGGGACCCCTTCCACGCTGTGGAAGCTTTATACTGTCACTGCTCAATAAAGCCTACAGCTTTTTTTTTTCTCTCGGTCCGATCCGTGTCTCTCTCTTGCCGCAGGCTGCCACCACACCAATTCTTTGGCGTGGCTAAGGCAAGAACCTTTTGGTGTTACACTTTCTTTCCACTCCTGTACTTGCATTACAAATATGTTGGTGCACTTAATGGTGCCCCACTTTTCTCTGAAGCTCTGCTCATTTGTCTTTATTTTCCCTCCTATTATTTCTGTTCTTTCTCTGTATTCTTCAAATATATGATCTCTATTGATCTATCTTCAAGTTTGCCGATTCTTTCTTTGGTTCCTGTTTTTGTGCTTTTAAATTCCAGAATTTTCATTTGGTTCTTTCTTACAATTTCTATCTTTGTATTGATATTCTATATTTGATGAGACATTGTCATTAGGCTTCCTTTAAACATGGTTCCCTTTAGATCTTTGAACACATGTATAACAGCTGCAGTGATTTGGCTGAGCTAGTTCAATGATTTGACTATCTTCTTTCCTGATCTTCCCATTGAGCTTCTAGCAGGTCTGCCTCTGTTGGTATCTCACATGGCTGTTAGCCTCCATTAATTGCTAGGTGATTGGTCTGTTGTTCTTGACAGTGCCCTGGGGCTTAAATTGCTCTACAGTCTGATTCAGTTGCAGTCAAGCCCCTTCGCAGGGGCAGGGTATTGCTAGTCTTTGAGACTTGCTTCCACCCCCTGTGGACTGAACCTCTGTAGTATGGAGTAGGAGCTGGGGGAAAAGGAGGAACAGTTTTTCACCAGCTGCCCCATCCAGATCCTGTCTATGGAGCAGGAGCCATGGATGCGGGGTAGGGAGTAGCATCAGGAACTGGTATCATCAGCCACCTATTTCTCTGCTGTGATTTGCAAGGAACTAGTTTTTCAGTCTCCCTTACCAAATGGCTTCTGACTGGGTTTAGCCAATAGGAAGTGCTAGTGGAAGATTGGCATGTTGGAGAGGGGGAGAAGCCAGAAATTTCATCCTGTCTCGCTTTGCTTTGGGTTGGTATCCTTGGCAGGCTGTGTCTCCTGTGTGGCACTGACTACTCCAACCAGCCCTCTTTTTGTGGTTCCATTTCCCACTGGGCAATGGGAAACCATGCAGTGTAATTCTCCACTCTGTAGGTTGAAACTATAGTAGCTTTATCTGGATGGCCTGGCAAATAGCCTCTAGTGATACCACTTTCTCCCATAATCCCTTCTGTCTTAGTGTTCCCAGACCACACTGAGGGCCGGGCTCCTATTTCTCGTGGCCCAATAACGAGATGCAGATGGACTGGGGAGGAAGGGAGTTTTTATTTCTGCAACCACTTACAGGGAGAAGGCCTAGAAATTATCACCAGACAAACTCAAAATTACGAAGTTTTCCAGAGCTTATATACCTTCTAAGCTATATGTCTATATGTAAGTGTGCATTCATCTAAAGACCTAAGTGATTAACTTCTTTTAATCTATACCTAAGGTCTGAGTCTTGAAGACCTTCCTCTGGAGCCTCAGTAAATTTGCTTAATCTAAATGGGTCCAGGTGCTGGGGTAATTACCCTTATCTTGTCTCCTGCTAAATCTTGGCGGTTTGGGGAGTTTCTTCAGACCCCCAATAAACTCGTTTGTGGAGGCCTGGGGAGTTTCTTTAGACTCACAATAAAACCTGTTTAATCATGCTTTAAGGTACAGGAAAAGCCTGGGCAAAACTCTTGGTGGGCTTTTGTTACATTCTAGCCTTGTTTTGGGGTACCGGCTCTTTCAGCTTTTAATATTTAATGTAGCCACTCAGTCAGTGCTGAAATAGTTGTTATGGAGGCCTGCGTTAGTGAGACCCGGCCTGCCACATTAGTATAGTAGTAGTGTCTTGCTGTACCCTCTTAGTCACTTCACTATGTGATACCTTACCTTGTTTTAATATGAACAGACTCTCCCTTAGCTGAGAAAGCCAGACAGACTCCATTTGGCTCCTTCATTTGCAAGACATCAAGGGCTCCTTACCCACCCCCTTCCTCAAGGACTCGTGCAAGCTGACTCCCAGCACATCAAAGAGTGCAATTAGCCAATAAGGTACTGTGGCAAGCTATGTCCACAGTTCCCAGAAATTCGCCCAAGTGATAGTACCCTAAGCCCCCGCGTTTGTGTCTGGTAGATAGCAGCCAAAGCCCTCGCACCTATCACCTTGTGATGGATTTAAAGCCCCTGCACCTGGAACTGTTTGTTTTCCTGTAACCATTTGTCTTTTTAACTTTTTTTGCCTGTTTTACTTCTGTAAGATTGCTACAGCTAGGCTTCCCCTCCCCTCTCTAAACCAAAGTATAAAAGAAAATCTAGCCCCTTCGGGGCCGAGAGAATTTTGAGGGCTAGCCATCTCTCGGTCGCCAGCTAATAAAGGACTCCTGAATTAATCTCAAAGTGTAGCGTTTCTCCATAACTCGCTTGGTTACAACATTTGGAGGCCCCAACGAGATATTCACCTCTGGGTGAGAGCTGGACTCATTCCAGGCTCCCCCGGACAGACGGCGGACTTATAGGGGAGGTGCCACCTGAAGACATTCCAGGGCCCCATAAGACCCCGTCTTCCGGAGGGGAATGGATCGACCACCAGTGTGTGCCCACAAAAATTCAACTCCTGATCCTCAGTTTCTGGTCCCGGGAAGGTAAGTCAGATCTGACTCTGTTTCTCTGGGAGGGAAGCGGCCCTGACAAGGGCCCTCCCTTGACTCTGCCTGCGTTGCAGGATGCTGAAGGACAGAGTCCCGGTTTCTGGCAGCCCGGCCTCTCTGTTAAGATTAGTCTCTCTCTCCCTCCCTCTTTCTTTATCTCTTCTGCTTCTCTCGTTCAGGTCTCCCGGAGACCTCTGTTATAGAACGGGAATAAGAAAACTGTTGTAAACTGTGTGAATGAGTGCGTGAATGTGGAGTTCAAGGGCTTGCGCTTGAATTTCCAGTTTGTACCTCCAGGGCGAAAGCTACGGAGTTCGAGTGGGCCCTCACCTGCAGTTCCGTGGTGACCTCATAAGGCTTAAGGCAGCATCGGGCATAGCTCGATCCGAGCCGGGGGTTTATACCGCCTGCCAATGCTAAGAGGAGCCTAAGTCCCCTCGGGAACAGCCAGGCGGGCATCTGACTGATTCCATCATGGGACCCCCTCCCCTTGTCTGTCTATAAAAATTGTCATAATTGTTTATATACCCCAGTGTCTATTGTCCTGTTTAGTGTCTACGGTCCTGTCTTGTGTCTAACTTTCGTATGTCAGGTCGTCGATATTGCCCAAGACAACTGGGCAAGGACTTCAAAGTCCTGAGTGCAGATTTCTAACACAGGAGGTCTCAGGTGTGTCTCTTCGGGTTGCCGGGCCCAGGAGCCAGGCGCTCCTCCTTGGCAGGGGCTCCCAGACCCGAAGGCGAGGAGTGGGAGGGGACCCCCTTCCCCAGAGACCCCTGCAGGCTCCCGGCTCCTGCGCCTTCAGGCGTCAAAGCCCCCGACTTCCCCGAGCACCAGCGTATCTGCACCTGGCTTAGAACGCAGAGGCCCGGCCTGCTGTGGTGACCTTGGCCCCGGGCCAGACTTCTGAGCTGGGCTTGCAGTGCCTGACAGGGCCTGGAGGCGGGGCGGGGTACCGCGGAGTCATCCTGGCAACCCCGTGCTGCTCAGCAGGGCTCCTCCCAGCCTGAAAAGATCTGAGTGGCCCCTTTCCTCCTCATCCCCATCCCTTACCCCGCACATCCCGTTTTCCTGTGCCACAGCAAGTCCAGCGCCTCCAAGACTTGGCTCCGCTCTCCCTCCTAAAATCCTTAAAAGAAAGGGCAAAGTTTGAACTTTTTGCCTTCAAGTCGTGGAGACGCCAAAAATATTTAGACTATAAGTCAGAGAGGAGAGGGGGATCACGTAGGTCCCACTAGCCTCGCACCCATCTCTTGTCCTCTCCCTAAATCTTGGAGCTTAAGGAAACAGACCTTATGTGGCAAGAAGCGCTGGCTATAGCTGTTTTCCTACTTCTTTTGGTTATGATGCTTCTATTCTTCCGATACTCCAGCCCCTCCAGGTCATGAATTTCTCTGTCCATGCTGGGTTTAATATCTCTGCTCAAACTTTGTTAAACTGCCTCCAGAATGGGAAACTCTTCTTCCCAGTCTCATAAAGATTGGAGCCCTCTCCAATGTATGTTACAAAATTTCTCTCTAGGCTTCTCCGAGGATTATGGGGTCCGCCTTAAAAAAGGCAAACTCTGGACACTCTGTGGAGTAGAATGGCCAAAGTTTGGAGCCGGGTCACTGAACCTCGCAATTGTTCAGGCTGTGTGGCGGGTTGTTGCTGGAACTCCTGGTCACCCTGATCAGTTTCCCTACATTGATCAATGGCTGAGTTTGGTCCGGAGCTCTCATCCATGGCTCCACTCATGCGCCATTCCTAATCCTACCTCCAAGGTCATTTTGAGCCAGACCTCACTTTCGCCTCGACCCTCAGCCGGCTCGGCTCCTCCTGTATTGCCTCCTTCTGAAGAAGAGGAAAGTCTCCCTCACCCAGTTCTGCCGCCTTATAACCCTCCTGCTCCCTTAGAATCTTCCCTTGTCTCCTCGACTACATCCCCTGTGGGCTCTCTGCCTATTGCCTCCTGATTGAGGCCACAGCAGGAGGAGGTAGCCCCCCTCCTCCTGCTGAGAGAGGCACAAGTCCCTGCGGGTGATGAGTGCTCAGCTCCATTCTTGGTTTATGTCCCCTTTTCTACTTCTGACCTGTGCAACGGAAGGCTCATAATCCCTCCTTTTCTGAAAAGCCCCAGGTCTTGACCTCACTGATGGAGTCGGTGCTCTGGACCCATCAGCCCACCTGGGATGACTGTCAACAACTCCTTTTAACCCTCTTCACCTCTGAAGAGAGGGATCGTATCCGAAGAGAAGCCAGAAAGTATTTCCTTACATTAGCCGGTAGACCGGAGGGGGAAGCCCAAAACCTCCTTGAGGAGGTTTTTCCCTCTACCCGGCCTGATTGAGATCTGAACTCCTCAGGTGGGAAGAGAGCTTTGGATAATTTTCACCGTTATCTCCTTGCGGGTATCAAGGGAGCCGCTCGAAAACCATGAATCTGTCTAGGACAACTGAAGTTGTCCAGGGGCCTGGTGAGTAACCTGGAGCATTTTTAGAATGCCTCCAGGAGGCCTATCGGACTTACACCCCTTTTGACCCAGCGGCTCCCGAGAAGAGCCGTGTTATTAATTTGGCATTTGTGGCTCAGGCGCCTCTGATATTAGAAAAAAATTACAAAAACTGGAAGGATTTGCTGGAATGAACATTAGCCAGCTTTTAGAAGTAGCCCAGAGAATTTTTGACAGTCAAGAGTTCGAGAAACAAAAACAGGCAGCTGAAAAGGCTGCTGATGAAACATCCAAAAGACAACCGAAAATCTTAGTGGTCGCCATCCGGGAAGCCAGAAAGGAGGGGCCCCCATCACAGAACACTAGCCAGGGGACCCCGGTTCCACAACAGAAAGGCCAGAAAAGTGAGTAGGCTTCCCTACAGAAAAACCAATGCACTTATTGCAAGCAGATAGGACACTGGAAAAAAGAATGCCCATTTAAACCAGAGGGAAAAATAATGCCCATTAAAGCCAGAGGAGAAACCAGAAAAGAAAAAGGTCTGAAGGGGGCCAGCCCCTCCACACCTGTGGGTGTTTCTCATCAGGTGGGTCAAAAGAGTGAGAAAAGAAGACACAGAGACAAAGTATAGAGAAAGAACTGTGGGCCCAGGGGACCAGCGCTTAGCATACAGAGGACCTGCGCCGGCCCTGGTCTCTGAGTTCCATCAGTATTTATTGATCACTATCTCTACCATCTCGGAGAGGGGGATGTGGCAGGACTATAGGGTAATGGTGGGGAGAGGGTCAGCAGGAAAACATGTGAGCAAAGATCTCTGTGTCATAAATAAGTTTGAGGAAAGGTGCTGTGCCTTGATGAGGACGTAGGCCAGATTTATGTTTGACTTTACACAAACATCTCGGTGCATTAAAGAGCAGTATTGCCGCCAGCATGTTTCACCTCCAGCCATAAGACAGTTTTTTCCTATCTCAGTAAATAGAACGTATGATTTTGTTTTACACTGAGACATTCCATTCCCAGGGACGAGCAGGAGACGGATGCCTTCCTCTTAATTGCAAAGAGGGCTTCTTCCTCTTTCACTAATCCTCCTCAGCACAGACCCTTTACGGGTGTTGTGCTGGGGGACGGTCAGGTCTTTCCCTTCCCACGAGGCCATATCTCAGGCTGTCACATGGGGAGAAAGCTTGGACAATACATGGCTTTCCTGGGCAGAGGTCCCTGTGGCCTTCTGCAATGCATTGTGTCCCTGGGTACTCGAGATTAGAGAATGGCAATGACTTACCAAGCATACTGCCTTCAAACACATTTTCAACAAAGCACATCCTGCACAGCCCTAAATCCATTAAACCTTGAGTCAACATAGCACATGTCTCTGCAAGCACAGGGTTGGGGCTAGGGTTACAGATTAACAGCATCTCAAGGCAGAAGAATTTCTCTTAGTACAGAACAAAATGGAGTTTCTTATGTCTACTTCTTTCTACATAGAGTAACAGTCTGATCTCTCTCTATTTTCCCCACAAAGGTCCTCAATCTCCCCGCAGCAGAGGAATCTGATGATTAAAAGGGCCGGGGCTCCCTCTCTCTTGGCCCCCGGAAGCCCATGGAGACCGTCACAGCGGAGGGCCATGGTGATGCCCAGGCATCTATTTGTCTAAAAGACTGGACCCAGTGGCCTCCAGGTGGACAAGTTGTCTGTGGGCCATAGCAGCCACAGCAAGCCTGATTCAGGAGACTGATAAACTGACTCTAAGTCAAAATTTAACTCTTACGGCTCCTCGTGCCATAGAGACTTTGCTGCAAAGTGCTTCTGGCAAATGGATGTCAAATGCTCGCATCCTGCAGTATCAGAGTTTTACTGTTAGATTGGCCTCGTTTAACTTTCTCTCCCACAAGGTGTTTAAATCCAGCTACTTTGCTCCCTGATCCAGACTTCACCACACCTGTCCATGACTGCCAGGAACTGTGAGAGACTACAGAAACTGTCCGACCTGATCTCCAAGATGTGCCTTTAAAGGAGGTGGATGCTACCGTGTTTACAGACAGTAGCAGCCTCCTTAAACAAGGAGTACGAAAGGCTGGTGCGGCTGTTACTATGGAGACGGATAAACTGCAGACTCAGGCATTGCCAGCAGGTACCTCAGCACAAAAAGCTGAATTGGTTGCTCTCATTCAGGCCCTCCGACGGGTAAGGACAAATGTATTAACATTTACACTGACAGCAGGTATGCTTTTTGCTACTGTGCGTGTACATGGAGCCATCTACCAAGTGCGTGGGCTACTCACCTCAGCAGGAAAGGCTATCAAAAACTAAGAAGAAATTTTGGCCCTGCTTGAAGCTGTTTGCCTACCTCAACAGGTGGCTGTAATTCACTGCAAAGGACATCAAAAAGAAGACACGGCCGTTGCCCATGGTAACCAAAGAGCAGACTCTGCAGCCTGGGGGCCAGCTCAACTGCCAGTCGCGCCTCCGACCCTGCTGCCTGCAGTGTCCTTTCCGCAACCTGACTTGTCAGATCACCCAGAATATTCCCCAGAGGAGGAAAAACAGGCTTCGGATCTTCAGGCCAGTAAAAATCAGGAAGGAGGAGTAAAACTGGCCCAGCTTCTAAGGAGCCGTTTCAAGATCCCCAACCTTCAGGACTTAGTTAACCAAGCAGCTCTCTGGTGTACGGCTTGTGCCCAGGTAAACACTAAGCAAGGTCCTAAACCCAGCTCAGGCGACCGCCTCCAGGGAGACTCACCAGGAGAAAGGTGGGAAATTACAGAAATAAAACCACACTGGGCAGGGTACAAATACCTTCAGGTACTAGTAGACACCTTTTCTGGATAGACTGAGGCATTTGCCACCAAAAACGAGACTGCCACCACGGTAGTTAAGTTTTCACTCAATGAAATCATCCCTCAACATGGGCTGCCTGCTGCCATGGGGTCTGATAATAGATCGGCCTTCACCTCGTCCATAGCTCAGTCAGTCAGTAAGGCATTAAACATTCAATGGAAGCTCAGTTGTGCCTATCGACCCCAGAGCTCTGGATGGGTAGAACACATGAATCACACCCTAAAAAATACTCTTACAAAATTGATCTTAGAGACCGGTAAAAATTAGGTAAGACTCCTTCCTTTAACCCTTCTTAAAGTAAGATGCATTCCTTACCGGGCTGGGTTTTCACCTTTTGAAATCACATATAGGAGGGCTCCGCCTATCTTGCCTAAGCTAAAGGATACCCGTTTAGCAGAAATCTCACAAGCTAATTTATTACAGTACCTACAGTCTCTCCAACAGGTACGAGATATCATCCGCCACTTGTCTGGGGAGCTCATCCCAGTCCAGTTCCTGACCAGACGGGGCCCTGCCACTCGTTCCCACCGGGTGACCTGGTGTTAAAAAGTTCCAGGTTAAAGTTTAAAAAAAAAAAAAAAGTTCCAGAAAGAAGGACTCACTCCTGCTTAGAAAGGACCTCATACTGTCATCCTCACCATGCCGACAGCTCTGGAAGTGGCCAGCATTCCTGCTTAGATTCATCACTCACATCAAAAAGGCCAACAGAGCCCAACAAGAAACATAGGTCCCCAAGCATAGGCCAGGCCCCTTAAAACTGTGCCTAAGTCGAGTGAAGCCTTTAGATTAATTCTTTTTATTTATCTCTCTTGTTTATTTCCACCTGTTATGCCCTCCGTGCCTTCCTATTCTTCTCACTTCTTTCACGACAGGACGTGTATTTGCAAACACTACTTGGAAGGCAAGAACCTCCAAGAAAGTCTCTTTTGCAGTCGATTTATGTGCTTTGTTCCCAGAGCCTGCCCATAACCTTGAAGAACAATGCAACCTGCCGCATAGAAGCGGGGAACATCAACCTTGCTACAGGGTTCGGACACACAGGAAGCCGGACTGGATGTAAAAACTCTAAAAGTGAAAAAAAAAGGACTCCAGAGCATTGACTTTTACCTCTGTCCTAAAAATCACCCTGACTCTAGTTGTCACGATTCTTACCAATTTTTCTGCCCTCACTGGTTTTGTGTGACCCTAGCCACTTACCCTAGAGGATCACCTGGTCCTCAACCCTCTCCATAACTCACACTTCCCATCCTAGACTGTGTACTATGAAAAATTGTAACCCTCTTACTATAACTGTCTGTAACCCTGGTTCAGCTCAATGGTATTGTGACCTGTCATAGAGATTAAGGCTTTATATCTCGAGATTTAATGTTAAAACTATGTTCACCATCCAAAAAATCTAGATAAACGCCAGCAAAAATAGGAAAATAGCACCCCTTGGTACCAAAGTATGTTTAACTAGAATCCATGGCTGACTACTTTAATCACTAGGCTAGCTAGCCCCCTTCTCCTCCTACTGTTAGGCTTAGTCTTCAGGCTGTGTATATTAAATTGGTTTCTTAACTTTATAAAGCAACGCATAGCTTCTGTCAAGCTTATATATCTTAAAACCCAATATAACACCCTTGTTATAACTGAGGAATCAATGATTTGATTCCCCAAAAACACAAGTGGGGAATGTATTACCTTACCTTGTTTTAATATGAATAGACCCTCCCTTAGCTGAGAAAGCTGGACGGACTCCATTTGGCTCCTTCATTTGCAAGACATCAAGGGCTCCTTACCCACCCCCTTCCTCAAGGACTTAACTTGTACAAGCTGACTCCCAGCACATCAAAGAGTGCAATTAACCAATAAGGTACTGTGGCAAGTTATGTCCACAGTTCCCAGAAATTCACCCAGGTGATAGTACCCTAAGCCCCCGCGTTTGTGTCTGGTAGATAGCACCCAAAGCCCTCGCACCTATTACCTTGTGATGGATTTAAAGCCCCTGCACCTGGAACTGTTTGTTTTCCTGTAACCATTTGTCTTTTCAACTTTTTTTGCCTGTTTTACTTCTGTAAGATTGCTACAGCTAGGCTTCCCCTCCCCCCTCTAAACCAAAGTATAAAAGAAAATCTAGCCCCTTCTTCGGGGCTGAGAGAATTTTGAGGGCTGGCCGTCTCTCAGTCGCCAGCTAATAAAAGACTCCTAAATTAATCTCAAAGTGTAGCGTTTCTCTATAACTCGCTTGGTTACAACAACTATCCTTTGGCTTCTTTGCTCTTCCATCACCTGTGTATCTAATTTACAGTTTTAAATTCCAACACCCCTCCCCGCCATTGAAATACCTAGAGTGGTTTCTGTTTTCCTGACTAGAACCTGATTCCCACTAGCCAAATTAGGAGCAATTTAAACTTAAACATAAAATAATACCAATTGACTCAAACACATATAAAAATATTTGCATTCCTTATGATTCCCCCCAAAAAGAGAAAGCCCAAATTCCTAGTATTGGTGGACTCTTCTACACCAACTTCTTTCTCTGAACATTGGTAATTAAAGTAAAAGTTATCCTGCTTTTAGAATCATATTTCAGGATAACCAAATAGCCCAAGTGGATAAGGGAAACTGTTCTTTACAGAAGGAGGCCAGCTATATATGTCAAATGAATGGTAAAACTAGAAAATTACTTTTTTGTAACTCCTAATAATTGATTTACATAAGGGTCATCAATGCACGCTAAAATCATAAGGTAAAACACTGGTAGGAAACCATGCCTTTACTTGGTAGTCAGAAGAGGGGAGCGGTAACTTTAAATGGAGAGATTTGGCTTTCACTACTTGGGGCAGATTGCATATTCCAAAGATGGATGGGAGAATTCTATATCCCATTCCCATATGCTCTTTCAGTGTGATGTCAACACTCCTCCATCAAGAGGCAGGTTCTTTTTTCCCTCTGTCTGAATCTGGGCTATCTTTAACTGCTTCAACCTACAGAGTGGAGAAGCGACACTGCATGATTTCTAAGGCTAGCTCTTACAATACGGCTTTCATCTGGTTCACTTTCTCTCTTGGGACGCTTGCCCTTAGAACCCTGCCACCACGTTGTGAGAAAGCCAAGGCCAAATGGAGAGTTCACATAACTGCTATTACTATCTGCCAGTCATGTGAGCAAATGAACCTTCGGATGATTTTAGCTGCCAACCTTCATTTAAGTTATTTTGCTGAGATTCCAGACATCAAGAAGCAAAGACAAGCTGTTCCAGCTATGCTTTGTCCGAATTCAGAACTTGCAGAAATCATGAAAAATACTAAATAATTATGGTGGTTTAAAGACATGTTTTTGCATAATTTGTTATATAAGAGATAATGAATACACTACTCAACTTTGCATCACCAGTAGTGGAACATTCGGACATTATGCACCTCCTAAATGTGATACAATATGAAGTAGACATTCCTCTGTGTACTACCTATGAAGTATTGTTGCAGAATTTTGTTCCTTAGTTCTTGTCACATGACCAGGAAAATTTAGGCACACGAATACATTGAAGGGTGAGTAGGGCAGGATTTTATTGGGTGAAAAGGGAAAAAAAAATATCAGCAAAGTGAGATGGAGTCCTGCTAACAAGCTCCCCACCTCACAGATTGAATCCCAGGCCACCACACAGGATCTGAAGAGGCCAGGCTCCTCCCACCTGCCCATGGCTCCACCCCGTTTCCCCAGTGCACATGTGGGCATGTGCAGAAAAGGCCCTGAGCAGGTTCCCTCATCTGCACAAAAGCATCCGATGTAAACACTTATGGGGCATGTCGGAGATTCTCCAGGGACCCCTTTTTATCTGCCTAGGCATTTGGCTGTCTCTGTGTTACTGCCAAAAACATTAAACCTGAATCTAATTAAGGCTTTAGCTCTATCATCTAGTTGATAGGAAACATAGGGGAAAGAGAAACAAGCTAAATATCACCATGAAGAAATGATCAGGCAAATCTGTGTATAACATAAATAACCTGGTCTCTTAAATGCAAGTCAATGTCATTGAAAAAACAGATCCTCTTTCAGATTAAAAGATTTAAGAGCATAACCAAATATAAACCATGAACCTTGACTGGATTCAGTTTTGAGGGGGAAAAAAAAGATATAGGGACAACTGTTGAAATTTTAAGAAGGATTGTATATTAGGTGTCAAAGGGGAATTGTTTTGTTATGATAATGGCATTGTGGTTATGCAGGAGAATATCCTTATTTTCTGCAGCTGCATGCTGAGATATTTAGTGGTAAAATAATATATGATGTAAATAATATGCTTTAAAATGGGTCCAGCAATATAATTGGAAAGTTACATACATATATAGAACATATAAGGCAACGTGTTAATTGTTCAACCTAGCTGAAGGGCATCTTAGTGTTCATTGTATTATTCTTTCTAACTTTCTGAATGTTTTAAAAAATATTTCCTAATACAATTAATGCCTGTGTGAAACAAATGTACTGATTGGATATTTACATTTTATGAAATGTTCATTGATAAGAACTTGTGGGCTGGTGAAGTTGGGAAAGAAGGGAGAAGTGTTAGTAATCAATTATGAGCTCATATGCTATTTCCAGTACTCTGGTGAAATTCACTGTCCAGTGCTTCCCATCTGCATGCATTCTTCCCGACACTACTCACTGAGCCTAGGCTGAATGTTTGAACTTTTGTATTAGATTAAGGGGGTGAAGATATGAATTTCTTGAGTTATACTGTATATAAATATTATGTCTATACACAAAGCAATGTATTTGGCTTCTGACTTATCCATGGAGAAATGATATGCAGTGTATAAAGCTTGATATCTGAAAACTCTGTCATTTTTAAAGTACTACATTTTCTTCCTTTTTTTTTTTTTTTGAGATGGAGTCTCACTCTTGCCCAGGCTGGAGTGCAGTGGTGCGATCTCAGCTCACTGCAGCCTCCGCCTCCTGGGTTCAAGTGATTCTCCTGCCTCAGCTTCCTGAGCAGTTGGGATTACATGCACACACCACCACGCCAAGCTAGTTTTTGTATTTTTAGTAGAGACAGGGTTTTGCCATGTTGGCCAGGCTGATCTCAAACTCCTGACCTCAGGGGATCTGCCTGCCTCAGCCTCCCAAAGTGTTGGGATTACAGGCGTGAGCCACCGTGCCCAGCTAAAGTACTACATTTTCAAATAAGCTTAGGACTGCAGGTGATTAACATGGACAGATTTTCATTACCAATGCAGGTTTATCTTTATTATCATGAGACTATTATTCTTTGTAACAACTGTAATGCAATTTCAGACTAATATTTTAAATCTAGGATCAGTGAGGCAACTCAAAAAGCTCAGGTAATTACAATTTTATTTCTTCAGATAGTTCAACCTGATAAATGTGGGCTGTTCCAATTACAGATATTTTCTTGGTATAGTGATTGTGAGCTGTGCCTCATTTTCATACAAAAAAATTGCAACTCTGATCCTTAATTGTGACTCAAATTAAATTTTCAGGAATACTCTTTAACTTTAAAAATTATCCAACAACATGTTGTACCAAAGAGAACACATGAAAAAACCTGTGAGCATCAGAAAACCTGGGTCTAGGCCTAGCTCTGCCGTTTACTCACTTTTGGTTCTACCTTCAAAATATAATCCAAATTTGGCTCCTTCTCACAAACTTGGTGTCTACCACACTGGTCCCAAACAATATCATCTCTCCACTGGATTATTAAAAAACCGGTCCTGCTGATTTTGTTCTTGCCCCTACTGTGGAGTCTCCACATGCACCAGAGTTGGATTAGGTCACTCCACTACTGGGGAACCTCTGGTAGCTTCCTTTTTCTCTCAGAGTAGAAGCCTAGTTCTTACCAAGGCCTATAAGGCCCTTCACGGGTCACACCTCAACGCAGGGGCATCATCTTCTAAGCCTCCCTATGCTGACTGCTCCAAAACCTTTTGGCCTCCATTCTGTTTCTGGAACAGGCTAAATATGAGTCTACCTCACACCATTGTGCTGGCTGTTGCCTTGGCCCAGGAAGCTCTCCGCCCCTGCCAGTGACCTCCTCCTTACCTCCCTTACATCTCTGTTCAATGTCATTTGATCCTTTAGGCCAATGGTCCCCAACCTTTTTGGCACCAGGGACCAGTTTCATGGAAGACAATTTTTCCATGGACCGGGGTTGGGGGATGCTTTGGTGATGATTCAAGCACATTACATTTATGGTGTACTTAATTTCTATTATTATTGTATTGTAATATATAATGAAATAATTCTACAACTCACCATAATGTAGACTCAGTGGGAGCCCTGAGCTTGTTTTCCTGCAGCTAGACGGTCCCCTCTGGGAGACAGTGACAGATCATAAGATCATCAGGCATTAGATTCTCATAAGGAGTGTGCAACCTAGATTCCTTGCATGTAGAGTTCACAGTAGGGTTCGTGCTCCTATGAGAATTTAATGCCACTGCTGATCTGACAGGAGGTGAAGCTCAAGCGGTTATGCGAGCAATGGGGAGCAGCTGTAAATACAGGTGAAGCTTTGCTCACTTGCCCACCACTCACCTCCTGCTGTGTGGCCCAGTTCCTAGCAGGTCATGGACCAGTACCAGTCCATGGCCCAGAGGTTGGGGACCCCTGCTTTAGACCTTTTTGGATCACCCTATGTTAAAAATTACAGCTCCATTCTGCAACAGTTTCTCCACACTTACGTCCATCTGATGGTTTATATATTTTATTTGTCTTTCTCTCCCCACTAGAATTCTAATAAATGAAAGCAGGAGTTTTTGTCCCTTCTGTTCACTGCTGTGTCTGAAAGCTGTTCCAATAGGGCTCTACAATAGAGGGCACTAAGTCAACATTTGTTGAATGCATATTAACTGAAAGTTGGTGGCCTTGGGCAAATGACTTCTTTCCATGCTTCAGCTTCCTCCTGTATGTATCAAGATGGTTGCATAAACATCTCTCTAAGGACCTTCTAGTTTTAATATTCTATGATTCTAATATTTCTAGTTACTTCTGGGCAATACATTTATGATGAAATTAAAGGATATTCTCTCTGACTTCTCAAAGGAAGACATACAGGCACCCAACAATCATATGGAAAAATGATCAACATCACTAATCATTAGAGAAATGCAAGTCAAAACCACAATGAGCTACCATTTCACACTTGTCAGAATGGCTATTATTAAAAAGTCAAAAAACAGCAGATGGTGGCAAGGTTATGAAGAAAAGGGAACACTTATACACTGCTGGTAAGATCATAAATTAGTTTAGCCACTATGGAAGACAGTTTGAACATTTCTCAAGGGACTTAGAATTAGCATTCAACCCAGCAATCCCATTACTGGGCATACTCAAAAGATGATAAATTGTTCTACCATAAAGACACATGTACATGTATGTTCATAGTGCCCATCAATGGTAGTCTGGATAAATAAAATGTACATATACACAATAGAACACTATGCAGCCATTAAAAAGAACAAGATCATGTCCTTTGCAGCAACATGGATGGAGCTGGAGGCCATTATCCTAAGCAAATTAACACAGGGACAGAAAACCAAATAGTAAATGTTCTCACTTATAAGTGGGAGCTAAACATTGAGTACACATGGGCACAAAGAAAGGAACAGCAGACACCAGGGCCTACTTGAGGGTGGAGGTTGGGAGGAGGGTGAGGATCAAAAAACTACTTATCAGGTACTATGCTTATTACCTGAGTGACAAAATAATCTGTACATCAAACCCTGCAATATGAAATTTACCCATGTAACAAACCTGCACATGCACCCCCAAATCTGAAATAAAAGGTGGAAAGAGAAAAAAAAGGATATTCCGTCTGGATGGGTCATAAAATATGTAAAAAACATTCTGATAATTACACGCAAGTCTCATCTTTTAAGAAAAGAGTCTCTAAATTAGGCTTCAAGAAATACTGAAATTCTGTTACTAATTACGTAATAAAAACTAAGAAGCTTTCATTGACTAAGGACCTTGATAAAAACGTGGCCTTTTTTTCAGTCAATATTTTTAGTTTTCTAATTTATTTTGCTTATTAAGTATGGCTTTAATATTTTATAATTTATAAGTAAATTATACCTAATCATAAATGAAATGAGTGTAGTGCTTTGAGTAGCATTATATTTGATAGTATGCAGTTTTGTTTCATAATATTAAATGATTGCTTTTATGAAATATCCCATCTCCTAATAAACCATTGCCATTGTTCCACAAATATACTTACTAATATAAGTGGCAAAAGGGAAGAATTACTCAAGATATTGAGGGATCTTCCTGATACATTGCAAAGAATGTGACTCAAACTGGAGCTAAGACTATATATGATTAGAGAGTTGAATATAATTTAATATAATATCAATTTAGCTCTGTTAAAATTAGGTTGACTCAAGTCTCTAAGGAACACACAAAAGTATTTATGAGAAATTATAATGTGACTAGCAGACTGTGCCTCAAATTCTTTATTATGAGTACTCTTTTGCCCTGGTATATTGAAAAGCAGTTAAGTTAGGCAACTTAGAAACAAAATCTTGTTTAAAAAACTAAGATAAAATTTACATACAGTGAAATGTACAGATCTTAAGGATATGGCTCAGTGAGTGTTGACCAGTCCATATAGCCATGTAACCCACACCTCTATCCTTTTTTTAGTCATTTAATAAAATTCTTTTTATTTTGAAATAATTATAGATTCACATGCAGTGGTAAGAAATAACAGAGAGATCCCCTGTACCCTTTATCACAATGGTAACATCTTGCAAATCTGTGTAGTACAGTATCACAACCAGGATATTGACATTGATACAGTGAAGATACAGAACATTTCCATCACCACAAGGATCCTTTTTGTGTGAACATGTCTTCACTTCTCTGGGAGTGCAGTTCCCCAGAGTGTTCTTGCTGGATCCTATGGTAGTTGTTTATTTAGTTTTCTTTTTTTAATTGTCAAATTGTTCCCCAGAGTGGCTGTACTATTTTAAATTTCCCACTAAGCGCTGCTTTTTCTGTACCCCACAAATTTTGATAAGTTGTATCTTCATTTACCTTCTTTCAAAATATTCTAAAATTTCTCAAAACTCCTTTTTTTAACCCATGTGTATTTACAAGTGTGTGGTTTTATTTCCAAATATTTTCAGATTTTTCTATATATCTTTGTGTTATTGATTTTTTTGTTTAATTCCATGTTGTTCTGAGAACATACTTCGTATGATTTCTATTGTATGATTAAGTTGTGATTTCTGGACTGGGATGTGGTTTATCCTAGTGAATATTCCATGTGAGCTTGAGAAGAATGTGTATTCCACTGTTGTTGGATGAAGTATTCTATAAATGTCAATTAAATTCAGTTGACTGATGGTTTATTGTTCAGCTCAACCACATCTATACTGATTTTCTGCCTGCTGCGTCTATCAATTACTGATAGAGGGGTATTGAAGTCTCCAACTATAATAGTGACTTTGTCTATTTCTCTTGCAGTTCCATCAGTTTTTGCCTTATATATTTTGATGCTCTGTTGTTAGGTGTACACACACTAAGGATTATTATGTCTTTTTGGAGAATTTACCCCTTTATCATTAATGTCTCTCTTTTCCTGGTCATTTTCTTTGTTCTAAAGTTGGCTTTGTCTAAAACTTATATATAGGTACACCAGCTTTCTTTCAATTAGTGTTAGCAAGGTGTATATATCTTTTTCCATTCTTTTATTTTTAATCTATTTGCATATTTATATTTATAATGGTTTTCTTTTAGACAGCCTCTACTTGGGTCTTGGTTTTTTTAATCTACTCTGACAGTGTTTGTCCTTTAATTGATATATTTAGAAAATTCACCTCTAAAGTGATTATTGATATATTTAGGTTAATATCCACCATATTTGCTACTGTTTTCTATTTGTGGCACTTGTTTTTGTTTTTGTTTTTGTTTTCAGAAAACATTCCCTTCTTTTTCTGACTTCTCTGTTTTAAGGATTTTATATCATTCCATTTTCTCTCCTCTCTTAGCAATATATATTATCTTCTTTTAAAACATTTTCCTATTGTTTGTCCTAGAGTTTGCAATATATATTTACAATTAATATAAGTCCAATTTCAAATAACAGTATACCAGTTCATGGGTAGTATATGTACCTTGTACAAGAATATGTCGTTTCTTCTTACTGTGCCTTGTAAGATCAATCATTTCACTTACCCACAAATTATAATCACCTAAAACATTGTTGCTATTATTATTTTAAACCAACAATAATCTATTAGAACAATTATGAACATAAAAAATAAAAGATTTTATTTTATCTTCATTTATTCCTTCTCCAAATGCCCTTCCTTTCTGAAAATATATGTCAGATCAAGTTTCTGACATATATCATTTTCCTTCTGCCTGAAGAAATTCTTTTTTTTTTTTTTTTTTTTTTTAGTATTTATTGATTATTCTTGGGTGTTTCTCAGAGAGGGGGATGTGGCAGGGTCATAGGATAATAGTGGAGAGAAGGTCAGCAGATAAACATGTGAACAAAGGTCTCTGGTTTTCCTAGGCAGAGGTCCCTGTGGCCTTCCGCAGTGTTTGTTTCTCTGGGTACTTGAGATTAGGGAGTGGTGATGACTCTTAACAAGCTTGATGCCTTCAAGCATCTGTTTAACAAAGCACATCTTGCACCGCCCTTAATCCATTTAACCCTGAGTTGACACAGCACATGTTTCAGAGAGCACGGGGTTGGGGGTAAGGTTATAGATTAACAACATCCCAAGGCAGAAGAATTTTTCTTAGTACAGAACAAAATGGAGTCTCCTATGTCTACTTCTTTCTACACAGACACAGTAACAATCTGATCTCTCTTTCTTTTCCCCACATTTCCCCATTTTCTTTTCGACAAAACCGCCATCGTCATCATGGCCCATTCTCAATGGTCGCTGTCTCTTCGGAGCTGTTGGGTACACCTGCAGAAAGGCTGTCACTTCACACTTGGAAGATTGCACAGCAGCCATGCAGAGGCGCTCCTCACTTCCCAGATGGGGTGGCCGGGTAGAGACGCTCCTCACCTCCCAGACGGGGCGGCCAGGCAGAGGTGCTCCTCACCTCCCAGACGGGGCGGCCGGGCAGAGGAGCTCCTCACCTCCCAGACGGGGCGGCCGGGCAGAGGCGCTCCTCACTTCCCAGACGGGGCGGCCGGGCAGAGGCGCTCCTCACATCCCAGACGGGGCGGCCGGGCAGAGGCGCTCCTCACTTCCCAGATGGGGCGGCCGGGCAGAGGCGCTCCTCACTTCCCAGACGGGGCGGCCGGGCAGAGGAGCTCCTCAACTCCCAGACGGGGTGGCGGCCGGGCAGAGGTGCTCCTCACATCCCAGACAATGGGCGGCCGGGCAGAGGCGCTCCTCACTTCCCAGATGATGGGTGGCTGGGCAGTGATGCTCCTCACTTCCTAGATGGGGTGGCGGCCAGGCAGAGAGGCTCCTCACTTCCTAGACGGGGTGGCGGCTGGGCAGAGACGCTCCTCACCTCCCAGACAGGGTGGCGGCCGGGCAGAGGCACTCCTCACCTCCCAGACGGGGTGGCGGCTGGGCAGAGGCTGTAATCTTAGCACTTTGGGAGGCCAAGGCAGGCGGCTGGGAGGTGGAGGTTGTAGCGAGCTGAGATCACGCCACTGCACTCCAGCCTGGGCAACATTGAGCACTGAGTGAGCGAGACTCCGTCTGCAATCCCAGCACCTTGGGGGGCCAAGGCGGGCAGATCACTTGAGGTCAGGAGCTGGAGACCAGCACGGCCAACATGGCGAAACCCCGTCTCCACCAAAAATACAAAAACCAGTCAGGCATGGCGGCACGTGCCTGCAATCCCAGGTACTCGGCAGGCCGAGGCAGGAGAATCAGGGGAGCCCGAGGCAGGGAGGTTGCAGCGAGCCGAGATCACGACAGTACAGTCCAGCCTCAGCAACAGAGGGAGACTGTAGAAAGAAAGAAAGAGAGAGAGAGAGAGAGAGGAAGGAAGGAAGGAAGGAAGGAAGGAAGGAGAAATTCTTTTAACATTTCTTGCAAAGCAGGTCAACTGACAACAAACTCCCTCAGATTTATTTGTCTGAAAAGTCTTCATTTTTCTTTCACTCTTGAAGGATACTTTTCTGTTTTTTTTCCTTTCAACATCTTAAATCTATCACTTTATTGTCTTCTTGTTTGCATAGTTATTGATGAGAAGTCTGATGTGATTCTTATTCTTGTTGCTGTTATAGGTGAAGTGGGGTTCTTTCTTTTTTGCCCTGACTTCTTCCAAGATTTTCTCTTTTTCTTTGGCTTTCTGTAGTTTTAATACAATATGCTCTGGTATAGGTTTTTTGGTATTTATCTTTGGTGTTTTCTAAGATTCTTAGATCTGTGGTTCGTATCTGTCATTAATTTTGGGAAATTCTCCGGCACTATTGCTTCAAATATTTCTTTCTCTCCATCCTCTCTTTCCACTCCTTGTATTTCTATTACATGTATGTTTCCCAGCTGTTCACTCATTAGTCCTGGGTCACAGGTTATTTACTCCTAAGGCCCTTCTGTTGTTTCCATAGAAAGCCAAAGCTGTTTAAAAAGCCCCTCTAACTTAGCAGGATTCAGTATCCAAACTTTGTCTCCCTTTTTGTAGGTAGCAGCTGATATCATTACTCAACTTTTTTGCCTTCCAGCTGTTGCTTTCCAATGTACTCCTTGGAGGCCCCTCTTCTGGATGGAATGTGTAAGTAGATTTGGGGGCTTCTCCCTCTGTGGCTCCTTCTTCTCTAGAATTTTGCCCTCCATTATCAGCCATTCTGGAACTTCCCAGTCCTCCCATTGACACCTCAAGCCAGTAAGACTGCTTTCTATTTTTAGTTGTAGGGCTAGCGACTGAGAAATACCCTCAGGGAAAAATACCTGTCTACATGTAGATCTTACCCAGTTTAATTCCTTTCTTTCTGGAGACATATTCTTTTTATTTTTTTACTTTTTATGTTTGGGGTACACATGAAGGTTTGTAACATAGGTAAACTCGTGTCATGGCGGTTTGTTCTACAGATTATTTCATCACCCAGGTATTAAGCCCAGTATCCAATAGCTATCTTTTCTGCTTCTCTCCCTCTTCCCACCCTCCCTACTCAAGTAGACGCCAGTGTCTGTTGTTTGCTTCTTTGTGTTCATGAGTTCCCATCATTTAGCTCCCACTTATAAGTGAGAACATGCGGTATTTGGTTTTCTGTTTCTGCATTGGTTTGCTAAGGACAATAGCCTCTAGCTCCAACCACGTTCCCAGAAAAGACATGATCTCGTTCTACTTTATGGCTGTAGAGTATTCCATGATGTATATGTACCACATTTTCTTTACCTAATCTGTCATTGATACGCATTTAGGTTGATTCCATATCTCTGCTACTGTGAATAGTGCTGCAACAAACATTCGTGTGCATGTGTCTTTAATGGTAGAATAATCTATATTACTCTGGGTATATGCCCAGTAATGGGATTGCTGGGTCAAATGGTAGTTCTGCATTTAGCTCTTTGAGGAATTGCCATACTGCTTTCCAAAATTATTCAAACTAATTTACACTCACCCAAACAGCAAAGATAGAAGACTGCCCCTCCCTCTGGGAGCTCCCACACAGGAAGGTTTCAAATCTGTTTGCTGGAGAATACCAGCAAAGGTGAGTGGAGACCCGGGTTGGGAGGTCCCACCCAGTGAGGAGGAATGGGATCGTGCACCTGCTTTAAGAAAAGCAGTTTGGGCCGGGCGAGGTGGCTCACGCCTGTAATCCCAGCACTTTGGGAGGCCGAGGCGGGCAGATCACAAGGTCAGGAGATCGAGACCATCCTGGCTAACATGGTGAAACCCCGTCTCTACCAAAAATACAAAAAATTAGCCGGGCTTGGTGGCGGGAACCTGTAGTCCCAGCTGCTGGGGAAGCTGAGGCAGGAGAATGGCGTGAACCCGGGAGGCGGAGCTTGCAGTGAGCCGAGATCGCGCCACTGCACTCCAGCCTGGGTGACAGAGCGAGACTCCATCTCAAAAAAAAAACAGTTTGGCCATATTTTCATAGAGCAGCTTTGCTGTGCTGGGGAACCACTTCTACCACCACTGGGCTTGGAATGGCTAAGTCATCCAAACAGCAAAGATGGCAACGCATCCCTTCCTCTGGGAGCTCTGTCCCAGGGAGCTTTCAAATCTCTGTTGGCCAGAAAACACCGGCAGGGGTGGGTGGAGACCCCGGTTGGGAGGTCCTGACGGTGAGGAGGAATGGAGTCGGGGACCCACTTTAAAAAGCAGTCTGGCCACGTTTTTGTAGACCAGCTATGCTGTGCTGGGGTATCCCTTCCACCGCTGGTCGCCTTGGATTCTCCAAAGCCCCAAGGCTGAAATGGCTAAGTTGCCCAAACAGCCAAGATGGCAGCCTGCCTTTCACCCTGGGAGCTTCCTCTCAGGGAGGTGCAATGCTGCTGCCAGGGACTGGCTGGAATTCTAAGCCAGTGGGTCTTATCCTGTTAGATGCTGTGGAAGTGGGGCCTGCAGACTTTCACTTCTCAGCCTCCTGGATTCAGCCTCATTCCTAGGGGTATATAGGAGGGTCTAACCTCCTGCTTTGTCAGAGTTGCAGCTACTTTTGCCAGGAAGCCCAGAAAGCCTGGGTATTGATGGCTCCCAGATTTCCACAGGTGTCTGAGTGGCTGCTCTGCCAAGACCCCACGTAGCTCTGTGCATCAGAATGAAGGCCCTGGTGGGGGGGGTTCACAAGGGGATCTCCTGACCCAAGATCCGTGGGAGAAGCATGGGTTCCTGGGGTCACACATTCACTCACGGCTTCCCTGAGCAGGGGAGGTTCCCCCGGCTCCATGTTGCTCCTGGGTGGGCTGTCATCCTGCCTTGCTTTTCTCCATTCTCCATGGGTCGAGTTGTTTCCTTGATTGGTTCCAATCTAAGTACCTGGATGTTTCCGTTGAAGGTTCTGTATTTACTCGCTCCTTTTATTCCTCTCCATGAGAGCCACGCACAGTAGCTGCTTCTTGTCAGCCATCTTGGCCACCTCCCTCAGAGACATACTCTCATTTCCAGTTCTGCCTGCTTTGGTCATTTTCAAAAGCCTTCAAATAGTTGGTTTTTTAAACATTTTGAACAGAATTTACAATTGTTATCTATGGGAGAATTAGTACATTTTAAGCTACTCCGTTACTGGAACCAGAACCTAGGAAGCTGTCTCTTTACCTTTTTGACCAGAGCAGCAAAGTATTCTTTTAGACTGTAGATATTACCCCTCATCTCCCTTGGTTACTGGTAATCCAAAAGGTTATGTGCCTGCTGTATTTTCTGCAGGGTCCATTAATATTTTTCTACTGAGAGTAGAGGGTAAGGAGAGCCACATTTTTCTGTTTTGAACATTTGTATTTTGGATTTAAGATTTTCTTCAGGAAAGACACATGTATAGTGGGCCCTCCATATCTGTAGGTTCTACATCCAGGAGGGGATTCAACCAACCATGGATGGAAAATATTTTTTAAAAATGATAAAAAATAACAACACAACAAATTTAAAAGTTAAAAATACAACATAACTATTTACATAGCATTTACATTGTATTAGGTCTTATAGGTAATCTAGAGATGATTTAAAGTATACAGGAGGATGTGCATAGGGTGCGTAGGTTATATGTAAATACTTTGCCATTTTGTAAAAGAAACTTGGGCATCCTTGGATTTTGGGTATCTTCAGAGGGTCCTGGAACCAATCTCCCGCAGATATTGAGGGACAACTGTATAGCTACACTTAATTCTGGCCTGTTTCCACAGCTTGGATGAATGTTGAGAGAATTGTGTCTCTATTTATATTTTTATTATCAAAGATAATAATTAAGGTAAATACTTCTGCCAGCTGTCTTTTTTCATGTCCTTCATTTTATCAGAAGCAGCTTTTAGTATTCGTAATCTAGAAATAAATGACTCACTTCTGGTAAGCATTTCCAAGTTAGAGAGCATGATAAATCATACCAATAATTTGTTTCCCTGAATTGAACACCCAAACCTCTGCTGTTCCATATGCAGGGCATGGAGGTAGGTGTTCTCTTCTATTCTGAGGATTTCCTTGGAGGTGGGATTGGATTCAGAGATGTATATTCACAAACACCAATGCCATTATGAGCATAAGCTGGCTTCTACCTTAGAGAGAACAGCTCTTGCTGCTTTCCTAACTTGCTCTGAGACGAGACTCCTGGATTTGCAGCAGCCCTGTCATGTAAACTGCCAGATTCCCAGTTCTGGAGCCCAGTTTGTCCTTTTAAGATTAGAAAGCAGCAGTGTTCTAACCCTGTAGCCTAGGAGTTCATGTGGCAGATGTGATTTGCTGCTTGTGTATGCCATAAGGGCAGAGACAGAATGATTTTTAAAAATCATGTTTTTATAATAGTCATTTGCAACATTAAGAGATTGGGCCCCAAGAGTCTAATGGCTAATTTTATAAGGGGTTAAATCTCATGTGATGTTGACAGTCCTCCTCTGGATGGCTATAATCTCAAATAGCGAGAGTCTGTTCCCTGCCGTAAAAGATCACATGGATTACTTATAAGGATGAAAAGCAACTATCCCAGTCTCCTTAGCCTTTAATTTATCTTCCTTATCTGATTCGACCTCCTATGTTGGCCATTTCTCAATAATCTTTTCCATCTACTCTTTGGTTCATCCTGTATCTATTCGTAAACCCAGCCCTATCCTCAGCCTCTCCTGGCTGCATGTGGTCTGAACATTTGGTCCCCTGAAATATACTCTTTCATGCCCTTTTTAGTCAGTGGCTTCTGGGGAAGATCTTGAGAGAAACTTTCCCATAGTGGCTTTTCATCTTTTTTCCCCTACTCTAATAGACAAGATAGATCTGTTTGTCCACTTGACAAATATCTATTGAGCATCTACTTGGATTCAGGCATGGTCTTAGGGACTGAGGATCAGTGATCTCAAGAAAGATATAAGTTTTTTCTTCCACGAAGCTCACATTCTAGGAAGGATTACAGCTAAGTAAATGAAAAATAGTAGTGTGATAAATGCTTTGATATGGGCATAGAGGATATTACAGGGACATGTGAAAGCACCTAATATAAATGTATAGGGATGATATGGTTTGAATATTTGTACTCGCCAAATTTCATGCTGAAATTGCAATCCCTAATGTTGGAGGTGGGGCCTGAGGGGAGGTATTTGGGTCATTGGGGTGGATCCCTCATGGCTTGATGCTGTCCCCCTGATAGTGAGTTCTCATGAGATCTGGTTGTTTGAAAGTGTGTGGCACCTCTGCCTGTCTCTCTTGCTCTGGCTATCCCCATGTGACACACCTGCTCCCCCAGTCCCTCTTTACCTTCTGCCATGATTGGAAGATTCCTGAGACCCTCACCAGAAGCAGATGCTGGAGCCATGCTGATACAGCCTGCAGAACCATGAGCCAATTAAATCTCTTTTCTTTATACATTACCCAGCCTCAGGTGTTTCTTTATAGCAATGCAAGAATAGCCTAACACAAGGGATCAAGGAAAATTTCCGGGGGAAGTTGCACTTATGCTTAGACCTGAGAGTGATTAGGAAGAGATGGGTTCCAAGTAGAAGGAACAGCATCTAACATAGCCATAAATGACACATATACAGGTGAGAATCCAGGAGTATGCCCAACCTTCAAGTGTATCTTATACTTACCCTTTTCTTCCCTGCTTAAGAGAGCATGTAGAAGAATATAAAGTGAGCAATAAGTCATTGTAGGGATAAATATGAATCTGCTCTAACTTTTTAAAAAGATAAATCGTAAATTATTTACAAGTTTTCTGTTAACTGAGAGTCCAGATATGATCCCACAGACATGCACTTTCAAGATGATTTAATGTTCCAGACAGTGTCTTATGCATAGACATTCATAAGGAAACAAAAAAGTCATAAGGGGCCAGGTGTGGTGGCTCATGCCTGCAATGCCAGCACTTTGGGAGGCCGAGGCAGGCAGATCACCTGAGGTCAGGAGTTCGAGACCAGCCTGGCTAACATGGTGAAACCCTGTCTCTACTAAAAATACAAACAATTAGCCAGGCATGGTGGTGGGTGCCTGTAATCCCAGCTACTGGGGAGGCTGAGGCAAGAGAATCACTTGAACCCGGGATGCAGAGGTTGCAGTGAGCTGAGATCACACCACTGCACTCCAGCTTGGGTGGCAGAGCAAGATACCATCTCAAAAAAAAAAAAAAAAAAAAAAAAAAAAGGCCAGGCGCGGTGGCTCACGCCTGTAATACTAGCACTTTGGGAGGCTGAGGCGGGTGGATCACGAGGTCAGGAGATCGAAACCATCCTGGCTAATATGGTGAAACTCTGCCTCTACTAAAAAATACAAAAAATTAGCCAAGCGTGGTGGCAGGCACCTGTAGTCCCAGCTACTTGGGAGGCTGAGGCAGGAGAATGGTGTGAACCCAGGAGGAGGAGCTTGCAGTGAGCTGAGATCACGCCACTGCACTCCAGCCTGGGTGACACAGTGAGATTTCATCTCAAAAAAAAAAAAAAAAAAGAAAGAAAGAAAGAAAGAAAGAGAAAAAGTCATTAGAGAATGCACTGAAGCAGGAAATGTGAAAAAGAAAAACAAATTTTCCTCTCTCCTTTGGTATGAGTAAACGTCCCCCACAAAATTCCTCCCCACTCCATGTGGTTGTACTCTGCTCTGCAAGTTTTATGAGTTTATGGATTCCTATTTTCTGTAACTAGTGACTGTAAATTTCTGTTTTTCATCTGAGTAGCACAGTGAAGGTCATGAGACATGCCTGAGCAGGACTGGACTGCAGCCATCTAGGCACCATAGTGAAGGATATGAGATAAGCTTGTGCAAGGCTCTTGAGCAAGCTGAGATAACAGCCATCTGGGCCGCATAGCAAGAGTCACATGAAAGCCTGAGTTATGAACCTGTCACAGTTTGATTAACTGCCTTTGTTCTGCTTCCGTACACTTGCTTTCATGCCACTGCACTCCACGCCACTGTAAACTTGTTTCAAACTAGCCAACCACCTTTCAGAAGTGTGTATAAAAGTCAAGCCCTGTCTTTGTTCAGAGCCCAGCCTTTGGATGTTAATCCACGGGGCCTAAGTGCATTCAATAAAATCTTCCTGTTCCACCCAGAGGTCTCTCCAGTCTCCTGATTCCCGCAACAGCACCATCTCCCCAAAGGTAATCACCATTAAGAGTGAAAACAAATTCTTCTAGTGTTTTTCCTTTCCAAAAAGATACACATTATCAAATTTACAAAAAGAGCCTTATGTAATACATGTATGACTGGCTTTTAACATGTGATAGATTATAAACATTTTCATGTTAATAAATACTGTTTTATAATATAGTTTAAATACCTACAGGCTGGGTGCAGTTGCTCACACCTGTAATTCCAGCACTTTGGGAGGCCAAGGCAGGCAGATCACCCGAATCAGGCATTTGAGACCAGCCTGGCCAACTTGGTGAAACCCCATCTCTACAAAACACAAAATTAGCCAGGCGTGGTAGCACACTCCTGTAGTCCCAGCTACTCTGGAGGCTGAGGCAGGAGAATTGCTTGAATGCAGGAGGCAGAGTTTGCAATGAGCCAAGATCATGCCACTGCACTCCAACCTCCTGGTTTGATCCCAGGGATCAAAGCCTGGGCAGTAAAGTGAGACTCTGTCTCAAAAAAAATAAATAAATAAATAAAATAAAAAAATAAATACATACTTTCTCATGTGATATATTTAATTAGTTCTGTATTGTTAGGCATTTTGGGTTCTTCCAAATTTTTATAAACATTATATCTCAAAAAAGTCTGTAAGTTGTGTAGATAAATCTTTCTAGCTTTAGAACTTCTATAAGCATTTCTTCCTTTTCTTAGGCTGAATCTGAGACCCACTCATCATACTTTGATTAGGTGATACAACAAAGAAAAATTTGGTTGTGAAAGCAGCAAGAGTAGAAAAAGCATTATGACTTCATTTTTATAAATAAGGCTTTCAATTTATATTTCCATGATAACTTTATCATTTGTTGATATTTATTTACCAAAGTGCTACAGAACTCTTCAAAATATGAAAAGCCATGGGATTTAACCATACAACAAAAATAATAATATTTTAAAATAATGTTTACCATTATATCAGAATGGAATGATTTTAGGTCTGAAAAAAGATGTTTACCATTACAAAACAAAGGAGGGTAATTTTAAAACTTGCTTTCATAATTTGTAATCAAATTTGGTAAAAAACTAATACTTCATGTAAATTCAGGGGGAGGTTGATTCATTCCAAGTTCAGGTTATTTAAAGCATTTAAAACTACACAAATGGCAAACCATTAATCATAATTAAAATAAACATAAATGGGATTGTTTATGGTCTTATGATACCGATTTTAGTTTGGAGCGTCATAAACCATCAGTCTAAATTTACTGTGTCCAAGTAGACTTGACTTGTTGGATTAGAATGTGTAAACTGCTTAAAAACATAATATATTGCCCTCAGGAATTTCAATATTTTTGATGCATATTTTAAAATTGAAATAACTTGTCAGTCTTCTATTTACTGTTGAAAAGTATTTAAATCTTTTTCTATTGTCTTCCTAATTGAAGTCAACCATCATTTAATTTTTCTCCTTAGTGTTTCTGCTTCCCTTACCTTATTCAGTAATAAACTTATTACTGCTGTCCTTATTATAATATTATCACTGATAAGATGAATTTATGGGTGTTGTGGAATTCTCAGTTGATTTCATAAAAGTTTATGACTCCTTTAAAATTTTAGTGAAAAATCCCAAAATATTGTTGTCTTGTTGATGTCCATCTGATTTAGAATTTCTTAATCTCTAGTGCTTTAAGAACTAATGTTTATGCTACTTTGGGATCATTAGTAGTTAGCTCAAAGATGATTTCTTGTACTAGAGATTCTTGATCATCTAGAAGCATCCTTTAAGAAGGATGTTTTAGAAACATACTTAATCTTGAGGGATGTGCTAAACTTTTCTTCATTCCATCTGGGTCCATTCTTGCTGTAGTTAATTGTACTGTTTGGGCAGTTATTGTTGGCTTAGAGCAAATTGGTTCTTGTCATTCTTCTGCTTACCTCTCTGGGCCTCACTTCCCAGGACTCCTTACTCTCTCCACCTGCAGTAAGGCTGAGTCTCAGAATTCAGCTTGAAGGCTGCCCCCAATTCCCTGAAAGCTGGGCCAATTGTCAGTGACCTATGTTCCCAAAGGACACTTTCCTGGTGCTTAGCTCCCTGTGGCTATTGCCCCAGGGGGCCAGGGAGGAGGTGGCAGAGTATTCATCCTGGGGACATAGTGGGAGGCAGGACCACGTCTGAGTTGAGGCTCCAAGTCCCTGGCATGTGCCTCATTGGCTCATCAGACCTCACTTATAAAACACAGATTCCAAGAGAAAATTAGGAAAAATTTTAAGACAGCAACCAGAGAGCATTACTCCAAAAAAGAGGCCCTCTGAGGAGGAGCCAGGGGCTGAGACTGCATTGGCCACTCTCTGAGGAAGCTGGCCCCACACATATTAATTCATTTCATCCTCCCAACAACCCACTTGTACAGATGTGGAAAATGTTACACTGAAAGTAACCAACCAAACATCCTGTTAACCAATAAATGAGTGACTGAGGCAAATGTCTCAATCAGTAGAGGTTTATTGAGCCAAAGTTTGAGGACATGCCCAGGAAAAACACAAGCCACAGAAACATCTGTGACCTGTGCTGTTTCCAAAGAGGGTTTCGGGAACTCAGTATTTAAGGGGACAGAGCAAGCAAAGGGAGGGAGGGTAGGCAGTGAGGCAAATGATTATATTCTGGTAAGGCTCTCCTTCATGCTCAGTAAGTCTACGTTTTATGTAAGATAAGGTGAATATCTGAAAAGAGGGAGTAGAGGCAAGAGTCAATTACACACACATCTCAGGGGAGGCAGAGGAGTGATTGATCTCAGCTTGTCCTTGTTCTACACCTGGGAAGATAAGTTTGTAATCGACATTGTCAGTGTGAGATTTAACAGAACTTGGTTGTAGGAGTTAAACTTAGATTGCAGACCCAAGGTTACCATGGGCATGTGCTTGTTTTATAGGGGGGATATGTCATCTGAAATATTTAGGGGCTAGCAAGGAATTTCCTTGTAATTTGTGAGGGAGGCCATCCAGAGAGTTATATGGCCTTTTGTCATTGTGAGAACCTGGCTTATTTCACAACACAGGGCTGTGAAATTACAGCTATCTGTTCGGGGGGAAAACGAATGGCTGTGTTGTATGACTCAGTTCCCAGGCTTAATTGTCCCTTGGGCATAACAAGTTTAGGGATCCTGAGGTTTTATTTTCTTTTACAATCCCATGTCTTCTAAGTGGCATAGCCAGGATTTGAACTTGGGTAGTAGTACACCCCTATGGTCTCTGCTCTTAAACTTTCTGCTAGCTCACTCCTCCTGTGCTACGTAAGTGAATGCTAGAATTCATAGCTCTAGGAGGCTGGAAGCAAAGGGAAGAAAACCATCTGTTTGTGCTTCTCCTCCATGTGTAACTACCTAGGTGGAGTCTAAGTTACTCAGGTCTTAGGTCTCTGCTGAGGACTGATGGTGTCTCCTGTTTACATCTAACAATGTTAACAATCAGCATGGCCTGGCACATAGCATTGTTCTCCTCATCATCATCAAAAAGAAAAAGTCTTCCCTGTATATATGTGCACATAAAAATATATAATATATATTTATATAAATTACTCACATATTTAAGAACGTGTAACATTTTAAAAAAAAAACAAAAACCTTTGCTGTATTTTAAAAAAATAGATCTGTATTGCCCTCTAGTGGCCATGAAAATTTAAACGGTGGGTAACCCTAAAAGAGAATAGCAGCTGTTCAAGTGCCAACCATAAAAACATCAACCCTACTACCTCCATATATTGCTGGGGTGCAAACAGGCATGCTCACAGCGACCAGGTAGGTGATGTCACAGGGAAGTGGGCTGGGACAACATGGAAATGGTCCAACACTTCCCTCTCCAAAGGGGGAACCTCTACTGAGTTCCAGCTTATGGCTGCCCCGAAGAAGACGGGCCAGTTGCTAAAGAGAAGCTCCAGAACCAGGTATTTATGTAAGAGTGCCCAATGTTTCAGTGTAGGAAATCAACTAATTTTTAATTCCCAGTCTCTGGGTGTGTCATTCACATTTCTGTGGGTTAGATTTAGGCTGCAAGTCTAGCCACTTGCTCATATGTGCTGGACAAAACTTACAGGAGGCCTTTGTTTTGGATTAGGCCCCAGCAGACCAAACCAAAATGGAGTCACTCATGCTAAGGTTACATATCACCAAGCTGAAAATAAGTTGTTTATCTGACCTTCTGAGAAATCAGGAGAGAGAGAGAGAATGGCCAAATCCCCAAACAGACCAGTCCCAGCCAGCATAAGGAAGTCCCCTCTGCTTTAACATTTTTTTTTTACAAGGAAAGTCGCTTTGAAATGACCAATTTGCTTTTTGTTTTGTTTCTGCTTTCCTCAGCCTTTCTTTGTCTATAAACCAATCTCCTCTGCTCAGCTCAGCAGAACAATTATTCTATTTTATGGAATGAAGTGTTGCCTGATTCTAAAATTGCAAATAAAGCCAATTAAAATATTTAAAAATTTGTGGTAATTTTGTTTTTTGACACTTCTGACCTTTGGTTAATTGCTACTTACTGTCTAATGGGCACTGTGCTCAGGGATTTACGTACAGTATCCCCTTTAGCCTGCAAAACAACCCTGTTACAGTTTAGCCCCCTTTCATAGATGAGGCTGAGAGAAGTTACCTGAATTGCCTAAGGTCATGTGGTCTGTGAAAATCAGAGGTGGAATTTGAACACAGCTCTTCCTAACTCCAAAACCCACGATTTTAAGCCCCGCACTTATTGCCCACCATGTGATGTATACGGTCTATTCAGTTAAGAAATATATATGGAGTTCTTAACATATGCCAGAGACTATTCTAGGTGACAAAGATACAGCAGTGAAGAATGCAGCGACTGCCCTCGTTCTAGTGTGGTTTTTGTGTGTGAAGTTGGGGGAGAGGGCCAGTTGTGATACAGGGGAGTAAGAGATGATAAATAAATACATGCCGATGCTGGATAGTGGAAACTGCCGTGGAAACATCAAGTGCTGTGAGAAGATACAGAATGATGGTGGCTTGTGGTGACAGGGTGGTCAGGTAAGACCTCCTTGGTGAGGTGTCACTGGACCAGAGTGAAGCGAGGAGCAAAGTCATTGATCCTTGGATTGGATGGCATGTGGTGGGTGGGGGTGGCATAGAGACCAAAGGGAACAGCGGCTGCCCAGGTCTCCGGGGGATGTGTGCTTGGTGGGTTCCAGCAGCAGCTGAGAGGTCAGTGTGGCTGGAGTGAACATATGAGTGATGGGGGAGGCAGGCAGGGCCAGAGGGTGCAGGCAGGGCCAGAGGGTGCAGGCAGGCCATGGCATGGAGGATGAATTTCCTTCTGAGTATGATGGAAAGCCTTTGAGAGTTTTTGGCAAGGAAGTTGACATAATAAAAAGGAGCCAAGAATAAAATATCCTCCCCAATGTGACACTCTCCTTATGGCCTTACCTTACATGTTCTCTGCAAGTGCATGCTCCCAGGCATAGCCCCTCTTTCCGCTGTGATAAACACCTTGTGTTTTGTTAAAAGTGACATCTTCTCTTGTCCCTCTGCTTCGGGTATGTATGTGGCTCCTATACCCAGGTATCCCAACCAGACCTCATTAGTTAACCTATAGAACTATTTATGTATCCTTCTAAGCTCAACCTAAATGCCAGAGGTCAATTTTAGCTTAAAGTTTCCTGGCCAGGGTTAGTAAATTCCTTCCTCTGAGCTTCTATGCAATAACTATCATGCTAAAATTGAAATACTTGCTTTTTTCTCCAATTATAAAAAAGTTCATAATACTAAAAATTGAGAAATGCATCAATTATGAAAAAAATAAAACAAAATGCCCATAATTGTCTCACAGCACGGCCATCCAGAGGCAATCACATATTGCCCTGTTGTCTTCTTTTTTACTATGTGTATATTATATATGTTATTCTGATTATTTTTTCTCCATTTAACCTTATGCCATAAACATTTTCCTGCTATTGAAAACCTTTTATTGTGGAAAATTTCAAAGACATAAAAAGTATAGAGAGTAGTGTAGTGAATCCTCATGTACCCATCACTAAGTTTCAACAACTAACAACTCATGGCCAACCTTGTTTTCTTTATACCCCCAGCTACTTCTTCCCTTGGGATTATTTTGAAGCAAATTTCTGATATGTCATTTCAATTGTAAACTTTTCAATATATATGTTTAAAACAATGGCTCTGAACTAATGGTGATTTGCCACCCAGGGGATATATGGCAATAGATAGAGACATTTTTGGTTTTTACAACTGGGAATGAAGTGGGGGTTGCTCCTGGCATCTAGTGGGCAGAGGCCAGGTATGCTGCTAAACATTCTATAATGCACAGCAGGGATCCCCAACCTGTCCATGGCCTCTTAGGAACTAGGCTGCACAGCAGGAGGTGAACGGTGGTCAGCAATTGAAGCTTCATCTGTATTTACATCCCCTCCCGACTGCTGGCATTGCTGCCTGAGCTCCACTTCCTGTCAGATCAGCAGTGGTGGCATTAGATTCTCACAGGAATGTGAACCCTATTATGCAAACCCTGTTAAACTGCACATGTGAGGGATCTAGGTTGCATGCTCCTTATGAGAATCTAATGCCTGATGATCTGTCACTGTCTCCCATCACTTCCAGATGGGACCATCTAGTTGTAGGAAAACAAGCTCAGGGCTCCCAATGATTCTACATTATGGTGAGTTGTATAATTATTTCATTATATATTACAATGTAATGATAATAAAGTACATAATAAATGTAATGTTCTTGAGTCATCCCCAAACCATTCCCCTCCTGGTCTGTAGAAAAATTGTCTTCCATGAAACCTGTCCCTGGTGCCAAAAAGGTTAGGGACCAATGGTGCACAGGACAGCTCCACAACAAGGAACTATCTAGCCCAAAATGTCATAAGTGCCAGGGTTGAGAAATAACCACTCTAAAAGGGTTCTATTTAAAAACTTTTAGTATTATATGGATACAGAAAATTCGCAGATCAGAAGTGAGCAGCTCAATTCATGTCCATGAACTGCACACATCCAGATCAAGATACAGAACACGGTCAGCATTCCAGAAGCCACACTGATGTCTCGTTCCCGTCACTGCCTGCCCCGAGGGTGGCTGTTATTCTGATTTCCAATAGCATATTGCCCAGTAAAGGATTCACTCAGCAGGTCTGTGTGGTCTAAACCCTGCACATTCCAAGGAAAAGTTTGTCTCTTGCCCATTTCCTAGGAGATAACCTGTAAACCTTTGGAATATTGGGCCTGATAAGAGTGTCTTTTTATATCAGAGGCTTTGGGCCACACTAGATATTTATGCTAACAATGTGATTTGTAGTGGGGCCTTGGGCCACAGGGTATCAACTTGACCTCTGGAAGGGCTAGAAACTGAAGACCGGCCAAGTGGAGAATTCAGCCATACCTATGTGATCAACTTCCAATAAAAGTCTTCAATACCAAGGCTTGGATGAGTTTCCCTGGATGACAGTACTCTGTGTGAGTCATCACGCATCCCTGCTAGGAGGAGTAAGCACTCTCTCTGCTACCGCACTGATAAAGACAATGGAAGCTTGTGCCTGGTCTCTCCTGGACTCCTCCCCATGCACCTTTTTCCTTTGCTGATTTGATTATTATTATTATTTTAGTAGAGACAGGGTCTTGCCATGTTGCTCAGGCTGGTCTCAAACTCCTGGGTTTAAGTGATCCTCCTGCCTAAGCCTCTAAAGTGCTAGGATTACAGGTGTGAGCCCCCATGCCCCGCTCCTGATTTTAATCTATATATTTTCAGTGCAATAAACTGTAACTCTGAGTAAACAGCTTTCCTGAGTTGTGAGTCCTTCTAGTGAAACTTTGACTCCGAGGGTGTCTTAGGGGACCCTCAAATACACACATTAATTTTGAAGGCCTTTATTTTGAAGCTTAAGCACAATACCATTATTGCACCTAAAAACTTAATAATTTCTTAATATTATCAGATATCCAGTCAGCATTCTCCAGTCAGATTTCTCTAACTTGTGATTTTTTAGGAAAAGTTTGTGAGTCACGATTCAAATAAGACCCCTACATTATATTTAATTTACATATTTTTAAGACTGCTTTAATCTATACATTACCCTTCTATCTAATTTTTCCTTTTTGCAATTTGCTTGTTGAAGACTTTTTTTTTTGTAGCTCTCCCAGTCTGGATTTTGTAGAAGATTGCATCCCCATGGTGATGTTGACATATCCTGTTTTTTTGTTTGTTTGTTTTTTTGTTTGTTTGTTTTTGTTTTTGAGACAGGGTCTCACTCTGTTGCCCAGGCTGGAGTGCAGTAGTGTGATCTCAGCTCATTGCAATCTCTGCCTCCCAGGTTCAAGCAATTCTCCTGCCTCCGGAGTAGCTGGGATTACAGGCACACGCCACCACACCTGGCTAATTTTTGTATTTTTTGGTAGAGACAGGGTTTCACCAGGCTGGTCTCAAACTCCTGACCTCAAGTGTTCTGCCCACCTCAGCCTCCCTAAGTGCTGAGATTACAGGTATGAACCACTGTGCCTGGCCTACATATCCTGTTTTCTGTATTTCCTGTTTGATCTAGAGGCGTAATCAAATTCAGATTCAACTTTTTTGGCAAATACTTAGTCATTTTTGGCTACCCTTCCTATTTTAGGGGACACATTTCTAGTTTTGTCCCCGCCTTTCATTCCAGAACCTGAAAAGGGAGCAGATGTTCCAGGGAAGCCAATTCCTGGACGTATGTCCTTGGCTGGGCCAATCCGACACTCCCTCCAGTCTCTGAATCTGAAATGAGTGGCACAAAGAAACAGGCAAGAGCTGAAGACTCATTCCCGGGTGGCAGCAGTGGCCAGACGAGCAACAGTATCCTGACCTACTCTTCTTGTGATGTGATTTTGAACTTTTGACTGTGATTCCAGCTGCCCAGACTCCCCTGACCCTGCCCATGCCCCAGTCCTATCTGTCCAGTCAGAGGTGGATTCTGTTGTTTGCAACCAAATCTGACCCCTGATGAGTCTACCTTCCAATGTGATGGTTCTGAAGAGAGCTGTTCTATTTTGATGTATAACTTCTGGTATGTTTTGTCCAAAGATCTGTCTCTCTACCTTATGGCCACAACTCTGAGATTTCCATATGTTTTTTGACTGATGATAACCTGTTTATTTTGCATATAGTAGAATCTCACCGCTGTAACTCAAAATGCTGGTGGCAAAGGCAGTCTGACTCAGTGAGATGACAGGAAAATCAAAGACATTGAAAAGCATATATATGAGAATAAATTCTCTCTCTATAGAGAGAGTATACATATGTGCGTACATATACTTTATACAGACTTGTATGTGTATGCACAGGCATGTATTTATATATAGTAATAAGAGGATACATTCTAGTATATATCAGAGTACTTATTGTAAATGCCAATAAAAGGGCATATTGATAAAGGAAGTTGACAAAGAATGAGGATTCATAATAGGCTTACATTTTATATTAAGGCGTCATGCATTGTATTTAAAGTACTTTTCTAAATTAAAACAACTCATCACTAGACGTAGTGATGGTATATTTAAAAATTTGCATCTTACTATGCCTCTAGTTTAAAGGTGTTGTAAGATTGCAGATAAGTGGTAAAATATCTGAAAAAAAGTTACAGAAGAGGGTGGCTGGCAAGATGGCCAAATAGGAACAGCTCCAGTCTGCAGCTCCCAGCAAGATCCAATGCAGCAGGCGGGTGATTTCTGAATTTCCACCTGAGGTACCTGGCTCATCTCATTGGGACTGGTTAGACAGTGGGTGCAGCCCACCGAGGGTGAGGTGAAGCAGGGTGGGGCGTCGCCTTAGAAAACCCCATCATCTCATCCCAAAATCTCCTTAAGCTGATAAACAACTTCAGCAAAGTCGCATGATACAAAATCAATGTGCAAAAATCACAAGCATTCCTATATACCAATAATAGACAGAGAGCCAAATCATGAATGAACTCCCATTCACAATTGCTACAAAAAGAATAAAATACCTAGGAATACAACTTACAAGGGATGTGAAGGACCTTTTAAAGGAGAACTACAAACCACTGCTCAAGGAAATAAGAGGAGACACAAACAAATGGAAAAACATTCCATGCTCATGGATAGGAAGAATCACTGACTTTCTTCACAGAATTAGAAAAAACTACTTTAAATTTCATATGGAACCAAAAAAGAGCCTGTATAGCCAAGAGAATCCTAAGCAAAAAGAACAAAGCTGGAGGCATCATGCTACCTGACTTCAAACTATACTACGAGGCTATAGTAACCAAAACAGCATGCTACTGGTACCAAAACAGAGATATAAACCAATGGAGCAGAACAGAGGCCTTAGAAATAACACCACACATCTACAACCATCTGATCTTTGACAAACCTGACAAAAACAAGCGATGGGGAAAGGATTCTCTATTTAATAAATCGTGTTGGGAAAACTGGCTAGCACTATGCAGAAAACTGAAACTGGACCCCTTCCTTACACCTTATACAAAAATTAACTCAAGATGGATTAAAGACTTAAATGTTAGACCTAAAATCATAAAAACCCTAGAAGAAAACCCAGGAAATACCATTCAGGACATAGGCATGGGCAAAGACTTCATAACTAAAAACACCAAAAGCAATGGCAACAAAAGCCAAAATTGACAAATGGGATCTAATTAAACTAAAGAACTTCTGCACAGCAAAAGAAACTATCATCAGAGTGAACAGCAACCTACAGAATGGGAGAAAATTTTTGCAATCTATCCATCTGACAAAGGGCTAACATCCAGAATCTACAAGAAACTTAAACAAATTTACAAGAAAAAAAACCCCATCAAAAAGTGGGCATAGGATATGAACAGACACGTCTCAGAAGAAGATATTTATGTGACCAACAAACATATGAAAAAAAGCTCATCATCACTGGTCATTAGAGAAATGCAAATCAAAACCACATGAGATACCATCTCATGCGAGTTAGAATGACAATCATTAAAAAGTCAGGAAACAACAGATGCTGGAGAGGATATGGAGAAATAGGAATGCTTTTACACTGTTGGTGGGAGTGTAAATTAGTTCAACCATGTGGACGACAGTGTGGTGATTCCTCCAGGATCTAGAACCAGAAATACCATTTGACCCAGCAATCCCATTACTGGGTATATACCCAAAGGATTATAAATTATTCTACTATAAAGACACATGCACATGTATGTTTATTGCAACACTATTCACAATAGCAAAGACTTGGAACCAACCCAAATGCATATCAATGACAGATTGGATAAAGAAAATGTGGCACATATATAACATGGAATACTATGCAGCCATAAAAAAGCATGAGTTCATGTCCTTGGCAGGGGCATGGATGAAGCTGGAAACCATCATTCCTAGCAAACTAACACAGGAACAGAAAACCAAACACCGCATGTTCTCACTCATAAATGGGAGTTGAACAATGAGAACACATGGACACAGGGAGGGGAACATCACACACCAGGGCCTGTGAGGGAGTGGGGGGCTAAGGGAGGGATAGCATTAGGAGAAATACCTAATGTAGATGATGGGTTGATGGCATGTGTATACCTATGTAACAAACTTGCACATTCTGCACATGTATCCCAGAACTTAAAGTATAATTTAAAAAATTACAGAAGAAAAAATGTGTAATTTTTTAGGCAGTAAGAAACAAATACCCAAAAGCTGAATTGTTAAAAATTCCAAATTTAGTGGGATTTTAATTCATGTGCTACACTCCCCATCTATTCAGGTTATCCTTGTATGGGAAGAGTCACATTAAAGATACTTGAATGGAATTAAGTAGAGACTTAAAGGTGCAGAGATTTGTTTTGAGTGACGGGATTCCTTGGTTTCCACACCTTTAGAGCACAGGCCCATGTGTGGCCTCTCAGGGTATTCTGCCAGTTTCCTTTGCTTCTGCCCGTCTCAATCTTAGCATCCACATTTCTCTGTGTTTCTGTCCAGTCTCCTAGCCCACTGCTTTCCTTCCCACTATCCAGCTCAGAATTTATCTCCAACTTTTTGCCCCATGCATTTGGCCTGACACAAAGTGGTGTGGCCTTTGACTTGGCCTGGGGACATGCACATCATTCCCTGTTTCCACCCATTCTCAGACGCTGCCCTGGCAAGGGAATGTCATGCAAGATGTCTTGCTTATTAATCTTAGGGACACTTATGCCATTAAAAAAAAAGGTGATTTCATCACACGCAACTTTTGTTCTATCTAGAAAGTCATGAAATAGCCTTACATGCTAAGTTTTGGAGTTTTATTATTTCACCTTTAATTGTACTTTTTCTGTTTTTGTTTTGTTTTTTTTTTTTTGATTTTTGTTTTTTGGTAATTCACGTTTATAGAGGTATAATTTAAATACAGTAAAATTCTTCTAAGGTGTTACTTTTTTGCATTTTGACAAACACATACAATCATGTAACCTCCACCATAATCAAAATTTCTATCACCCCAAAGTTCCTTCCTACCTGAGAAATAAAAATAAAATTCTAAGCCCCATCTGACTGAATGGACCCCCTATTGGAAAGGGGGATTGCAGAGAAACTTTGGAAGCTGAGTTCCCAGCAATGACAGAATAGGGAGGTTGGGGAGGCCTCATTATACCATCTCCCACCCTAACCACCATTAGACTTTCTTCCCTAAGGGCCACACAGAAACCAGCCCTTTCAGAACCCTCCACACTGATAATGTCCATTACCAGCTTATCTTCCCAGGTACAGAATAAAGACAAGAGGAGATTAATTGTTCCTTCACCCCTCCCTGAGATGTCCACATCCTCTCTTCCCTTTTTCTTCCAATGTTCAGCTTGTCTTATGTAACATGTAGATTTAGTGGCACTAACTAAAGTCTCACAAGCATGTAACCATTTGTCTCACTGCCACCTCCACTTTTTTTTTTAAAGGAAAATGTATAAAATACTAAGCCTCCTGAGAATCTCTTTGGGAAAAAACAGACACAGATGCATCTGTGACTCTCATTCTTCTCTGGGCCTACCCTCAAGCTGGCTCGATAAACCTCAATGGCTGAGACTTACATCTGTCACTCATTTTGGTTTTGTCATACCCTTTGCAGTCAATCCCCTTCCCCTATCCCCAGTCACCAGTGATCTGTTTTCTGTCCCTATGGTTTTGTCATATACATGGAGTCATACAGTTTATTACCTTTTTATTGCTGAATAGTATTCTTTTATTTTTTATTTATTTTATTTTTTTAAGACAGTCTCATTTTGTAACCCAGGCTGGAGTGCAGTGGCACCCTCTGCTCACTGCAACCTCCACTCACTGCAACCTCTGCCAACCAGGTTAAAGTGATTTTCCCACCTCAGCCTCCTGAGTAACTAGGACTGCAGGCACCCGCCAGTATGCCGGCCTAATTTTTATATTTTTTGGTGGAGACAGGATTTTACCATGTTGGCCAGGCTGGTCTCAAACTCCTGACCTCAAGTGATCCACCCACCTCGGCTTCCCAAAGTGCTGGGATTACAGGCATGAGCCACAGCACCCAGCCTGAATAGTGTTCTTAATTGTCTTTAAGACAATTATTTTTCTCAGTGGCAACATTAGCTTTGAAATTCTAATGGAAACCAATGGGAAATGTTGATTCAGGCTAGAAACATTTGCCTTAGAGACCACTTTCAAGAACATATCAATTTCATTATGTGAAAGCATACCTGAATTCAATATTATTTATTGGTCTATACATATTATTCATCAATGTGAGAGACCAGGCCTAGCCAAACTAATAATATCCCTTGGGAATTTTTGCCATACTACTCCCCTCATTCCCAGCCCAGGTGGAGAACTACAGACATAAATGTTTCAATGCTATGCTTACTGCTAGTGTTTAATCAGTGCTGCTGCTTGTGGGTGGGGATAAGACCAAGGACAATTGGATCTGCATAGAAAATTAGTGTTTCTAGGGCACCTGTAGCATAGGTTGATTGGATTCACCTCACCCATATGAATCAGTAGCCATTAGTTTGGTGAAGAGAGGAAAGTAATCATTCCAGGCAGGCATGTGCAAAGGTCCTGTGGCATTATGCTGCACCAGATTAGAGTGGTCTCAGGGCTGACATTCAACTGTTTGCACTGGTCAGACCATCAGGATGTCCAGTATTTACTCTGATAGAGCATGTGCCTTGCCAATTGTTAAATATTTTCAAATATCCCTGCTGAAGGTACTCTATGGCCAGCTAGCCTCAGGCAGTTAGGCTATTGCATACTTGAGTCCTGCTAGAAGCAAGGGTCAGAGGGAAGGCACTCGAACTCAGAGATCCTGTCCCTCAAGTGCATACTGGACTGAGCTATCCGGTAAGACTTCCTAGAGAAGCTAGGCCTTCACAGCTTAGCAGTAGTAAGTGCCATGGACAAAATTTGAGTCCCCAGAGTCCTTTTCCTGGAACCACCAAGAAAACAAGCTGAACCCAGACCACTTCTGAAAGTGCCTAGCATAAAGCAGGTGGTCATTAAATATTCATTGACCTGCTGACTGGCAGAGGACACTCAGACATCCCTTTTATTTACTTTTCTTCTGAAGTTGTATCTCTAGTTAATGCCTGTTTTACTTAACAGTCTAGGTTTGGCTCAACGGAATTCCATCTGGATTTCAAATATTTAGAGATTATCTAATCCAATGCTAATTTTACCAATGAGAAAGAAAGTAATTTGGCTAAAATAGACAACTAGTCCGTGGGCATATGATATGGTTTGGCTCTGTGTCCCCATCCAAATCTCATCTTGAATTGTAATACCCCGTGTCGAGGGAGGGACCTGGTGGGAGGTGATTGGATTATGGGGGTGATTTCCCCCATGCTGTTCTCATGATAGTGAGTTCTTATAAGATCTGATGGTTTTAAAGTGTTTGGCAGTTCCCCGCCACTGCCCCTACCACTCTGCCCCTGCCGTCTTGTGAAGAAGGTACTTCCTTCACCTCTCCAATGATTGTAATTTTCCTGAGGCCTCCCCAGTCATGTGAGTCAATTAAACCTCTGTCCTTTATAAATTACCCAGTTTCAGGCAGTTCTTTATAGCAGTGTGAAAATGGACTAATACAGCACACCTGACTAGAACTCAAGTTTACCAATTCAAAGTTAATGCACTCTCCTGTTTTAATAAAAACAAACACTCCTTCTGCCCCCCCACCCCCCAAAAGAGAAAAATGTGTTTACGTTCTTGGAAGCAAGACTGATTAAATTGCTGGGTTTGGATTTCAGTTCAGTAAGGTCATGGTTTGGCCTATAGCAGCAAGTTAATATTTCAGATAAAGCAGATATAAAATGTAAGAGCCCACACACCTCTGGAAACTTCAGTACAACTTCGCAGAGCAGGCTGATGTCCAATAATTTTATGATGCCACTGTTAGGGCAGGCCCTCAGTCTATTGCCAGGAGCTCCCCTGGATCTGGGAGGATGTGCAGAAGGGTCCTGATGCAGCTCACTGATTTTCTAGGATAAAGAAATTGAAATAGGATTAGGCTGGGAGAGGCTTATCTCAGTGCTGCTAGAATGTTCTTTCCTGCATAAACGACTTCCTTTTATTATATTTTCCTCCTACACTGGTAGAATAATTTACAGAATGTTATGTGTCTAGTTTTTGTGACAGAAAAATGGGCGACAGCTCTAATTTCAGCGGGTGGGGAGAAAGGCTTCAGAGTGCTTCCCGGATTCCTTGCTGAGAATTTTTGCAGTCTAATTAGGGTAAATTACATAAAATGCAATTTGGATTGGGCTGCCTTCTCACTAAGGTAACTTAGACTTTCAAAATGGAGAACTAGAAATGAACAGATTTTTTAAAAAGCTTTTACCATTTTTGAATTAACAAAACATTAAGTGAATGAGGATCGGCCCTTAAAATCCTCTGAATGGAAAGTGCCTCCCTCTGATGTCTTTGATGAACCCATCCTCTTATCTGGTGGCTTTGTGTTCAGTTCGACCAAAAGTGAATAGTAAAATAGTTAGGGGCCTTGTTTTGTCATCTGACATTTAAACAGAATTTGCAGGTGCTGGAGAATCTCTAGAAGAACAATAGCATTCAGGCAGGGAGTCTTGCTCATTGTTGAAGAAATGCCATGGCAACATCTCTGTGAAGTTGCTTGTGGGTGGATGGGACTGTGCCAACCTCCAAGTTCATGCTGTGTGTGTGTGTGTGTGTGTTTCACATGGATCACCCTGTCTTGTAAATCCTCATGTAAGGATATATATTTAGTTATATATCCTTATATCAGCCACCCAAAGAAGCTTCTAATTTGTACTTCAAGCTAAGAACAAAAAGTAAAATCAAATAAATTAATCAGTGAGGGGGACCGAAAAGAGCCTGCACTCAAGCCTATGCCATACAAATGAAGCTAAGAACGAAAAAGCACTTCATAGCTTGGAGAGCTCTAGAGGCATATAATTTAGGTGGAGGTATTAGGAACAGGAAGAGCTCTAACAAGCCAGAATTTTGAGAGAGATTTGGATTCTTTCTGCAGGTAGAACAAAATTTAAGTCTTTTTTCAATTTGGTAATTTAGTTTTGATTACCAAAGAGTCAAAGTAACTAAAATGTTCACAATGTAGTGGTGCCAGTATGCGCCATTGACTGTGTTCTGAGAATTTATAAAATATCCTTTACCTGTTTGGCTGAAGACCAAGAAAGGGTTGAAGATGAGCTGGGGATGGTGGGTGAACAAAACTAGGAAGAATGGAATAAACATTTACTAGTCTGCTTCTCTATGCCCAAAATTCTGATGTCTGCTTTACATATATGCTTATTTTATTCTTCGCTACCAGTCCTTGAATAGTTGGAGAAAGAACTTTTCTGTCACACATTTATTAGACAAATGTGCTTATAATGCCCCAGGCACAGGAGTAGTCTCTGAAAATAAAATGTTGACCCAAACAGGTATGGCTCTTGCACTCAGGGAGCTTATATGCTAGAGGGGATATCTTCATTGATAAAATAGTCACACAAACATGATTAGTAATGGGAATGGGAGGTAAATGGCACTATGAGAATACTTAGAGATGGATCAGGGAAGGCTTCCTTAAGAAGCACAATTGAGCCAAGATTGTAAGAATGAATAGAAAATAAGTAAATAAAGTGAGAAGAAAGCATGTTTTAGGCAGATGGAGGAAAGAATATGTGTAAAGGCATGTAGCAGAAAGAAACGTAGCTGATATGAGAGAATAAATGATAGCTAATTTGTTACTCTGGGTTCCAAACTGGAAAAAAAAACAGAAAAAATTCTGGCCAATTTTTGCTGAAAAGGAATTTATTAAAAGATTGGATAGCATACAGAGATCTTGGAGTACTGAAGAAGCAAGTCCAGTAACCATGTCTGAAATAATTTCATGGAGCATGTGCCATGAAGTTATCATTAAAACTGGCATCATTGGTACCACCAATTTAGGCCTACTTCTAGCCCCAAGTGGAAGATTTTAGCCATAACTCTGAAGAGTCTTGAAGTAAAATCACACTCTCCTTAGAAAGTAACTATTCTCCTTTTGAAAAATCATTCCTGGATTGCTACTAGATGTCAATAGAGATTGAGTTCCTAGTCACCAAGTGACATAGCGTGTGAGTTTCTCTTCACTGACTGGGTATTTCTGATATTCCAAGCAATAAGGCAGATGTGCCCAATAGCACTCCATCAGCAAGAAGAAACAATATGTGATAGTAAATCTCCAAGACAGCTCCCAATGATCTTCGCCTCCCAGTATCCATGCTTCATGTAGTCCCCATCTCCCACATTGTATCAGAACTGGTCTGGGTGACCAATAGAATACAGCAGCAGTGATGGTATGTAGCTCCAGAAACTAGGTTATAAAAACACTACGGTTTCTGCCTTGCTTTCTCTCTTGGATCACATGTTCTGGCACAAGCCGGTTTGCCATGTTATGATGACACTCAAACAGGCTATGGAGAGGCTGAACTGAAGATCTTGCCAGTAGCCAAGGAGGAACCAAAGCCTCCTACCAGCAGCTATGTGAGTGAACCACCTTGGAAGTGGATCTTCCAGCACCAGTCAAGCCTTCAGATGATTACAGCCTTGACTGACACCTTGATTACAGCTTTGTAGAGAAACCCTGAGCCACAACCACCCAGCTAACCCACTCCTAGATTTCTATCTTTGTTTTCTGCTGCTACAATAATACTACAGACTGTGAGGGTGGTGACAATAAGATTAGCTGTGCTCAGTTTCCAGCAGTTGCAACAATAATTTATAAACAATAAAAGGTTATTTGACTCATGATTCTAGAAGCTGGGAAGTCCAAGAGCAAGGTGGTGGCATCTGGTAAGGGTCATCCCATGGTGGAAGGTGGAAGGCAGAAGTGAGTGCACAAGACAGAGAAAATAGGACCAAATTCATTATTTTTATCAAGAACCCAACTCGTAACTAATCCACTTCCATGACAATGGCATTAATCCATTCATGAGGGTGGAGCCCTCATGGCCTAATCACTTCTTAAAGGTTCCGCCTCTTAATACTGTTACAACAGAAATTAAATTTCAAGTTTTGAGTTTTGAAGGGGACACTCAAACCATGGTAGTGACTCTTAAAAAGTATGTGAAATAATAAATGTTTGTTGCTTTAAGATACTACGTTTTGGGGTAGTTTGTTATGCAGCACCCCCTCCTGGAAGCTTTCACAGCTGGCGTTGAGTGTCTGCAGGCTTTCCACGTGCATGGTTTAAGCTTTTGGCAGATCTACCATTCTGGAGTCTGAAGGATGGTGGCCCTCCTCTCACAGTTCCACTAGGCAGTACCCCAGTGGGGACTTGGTGGAGGGGGGTGAGGCTCTTACCCCACATCTCTATTCTGAACTGCCTTAGCAGAAGTTCTTCATGAGGGCTCTGCCCCTGTAGCAAACTTCTGTCTGGACATCCAGGCATTTCCATACATCCTCTGAAATCTAGACAGAGGTTCCCAAACCCCAATTCTTGATTTCTCTGCACTCACAGGCTCAACACCACATGTAAGCCACCAAGGCTTGGAGCTTGCACCCTCTGAAGTAATGGCCCAAACTGTACCTTGGCCCCTTTTAGCCCCAGCTAAAGCTGAAGCAGCTGGAATGGAGGGTACCATATCCCAAGGCTACATAGAGCAGGGGGCCCTGAGCTTGGCCCCAGGAAACCATTTTTCCCTCCTAGGCCTCTGGGCCTGTAATGGGAGGGACTGCCATGAAGGTCTCTGACACGGCCTGGAGATATTTTCCCCCATTGTCTTGGTGTTTAACACTCGTCTCCTTGTTGCTTATGCAAATTTCTGCAGAGGGCTTGAATTTCTCCCCAGAAAATGGTTTTTTTTTTCTGTTGCATCATCAAGCTGCAAATTTTCCAAACTTTTATGCTCTGCTTCCTCTTGACCCTTTGCTGCTTAGAAATTTCTGCCAGATACCCTAAATCATCTCTCTCAAGTTCAAAGTTCCACAGATCTCTAGGGCAGCAGCAAAATGCTGCCGGTCTCTTTGCTAAAGCATAGCAAGAATCACCTTTATTCCAGTTGCTAACACGTTCCTCATTTTCAATGAGACCACCTCAGCCTGGACTTCATTATTGATATTATTATCAGCATTTTTGCCAAAGCCATTCAACAAGCCTCTAGGAAGTTCTAAACTTTCTCCCACATCTTCCTGTCTTCTGAGACCTCCAAGTCTCTGGGAAGTTCCAAACTTTCCCACATTTTCCTGTCTTCTTCTAAGCCCCCCAAACTCTTCCAACCTCTGCCTGTTACCTAAAGTTACTTCCAAATTTCTGGGTATCCTTATAGCAGCATCCCACTCTACCAATACCAACTTACTGTATTAGTTCCTTTTCAAGCAGCTATAAAGAAATGCCTGAGACTGAGTAATTTATAAAGGAAAGAGGTTTAATTGACTCACAGTTCTGCAGGGCTGGGGAGACCTCAGGAAACTTACAGTCATGGCAGAACAGGAGGCAAACACATCCTTCTTTACATGGCGGCAGGAAGGAAAAGTGCTGAGCAAAGAGGGAAAAGCCCCTTATAAGACCATCAGATCTTGTGAGGACTCACGCACCATCATGAGAACAGCATGGGGGTACCTGCCCCCATGATTCAATTACCTCCCACTGGGTCCCTTCCATGACATGTGGGAATTATGGAACTACAATTCAAGATGAGATTTGGATGGGTGGGGACACAGCCAAACCATATCAGGGAAGTTCCAGGGGCTTCCTCTCATTTCTTCCTATTACAATAACCTCTCTTCCTCAGATCAGGAGGCCAGTGTAGGATTTTTGACCATTGTAGACTATATCTACTCCAACTCTACATCCAGGAATGGGTGAATAACCTTGAATTAGTGTTAAAGCCTCAGTAAACCCACCATGAGATGGATTCACGCCAAACTTCAAACATCACCTGATTATCACCTGACAAGTCTAAAAGGAATATTTACAGCATATACTTGGGGTGATCCACAGGATATTTCACTTGCAATGCCTCTTCATTCAGGTCACTCTAGGTCTTTGAATTAACTAAGCCTGGGATGGGGTATTATAGTAGACATTCTCTGCCCATCCATAGCCCCTTGGGTCTTTTTTACCATTTCTGTGCACCCCTTCCCCTTGTTTGGGGTTCTTTTGCTTCTAATATCTTATACTTGTAACTCTTTTCAGAGCTGTGTCCTGTAACTATTGGAGGCACTTTGGCCACATGCAGAGAGCTGGATGTGCCTAGGAATTCATGACCTCTTTCCCTCCTGGGGCTTCTACTCAAAGACTGATTGGTCCAGCTTCCTTGTCTGGAGTTGGGTCAAACTCAAGCATAATTTAAACTCGAGTTCCCATGTGGGATCAGGCCAAAGCTAGGGCTTGGCCTGAAACTGCAACCTTTCTTGGCTTCTCTCCCTTTCCTATCATGCTTCCTCTTTCCTTACCGGTTTCTCCTGGGAACACTTTCTTAGTCAATTACTTGCATAGAAATCTTCATTTCAGGGTTTACTTCAAAGAACTTGACCCAAGACAGGAGCCATAACTATGTGGTGTCTCTGGCCTCTGTTCATCAGATTTAGATTTTGTTTACTTATTTGTTATTTTGGCCAAGAAGGAATTAAGTGGACTGGATGTCTATTTCAGTCTAAGGAGGTCACAGTCAATGACCATTGCCAAAGATCCCTGTGGTAAATCAATCATCCTGTTACTCTAGTCCCACATCCTATTCAATAACAACCCCCATCTTGCCTCAGGGAGGTAAATGCAGATTCTAGGCTTTATGTGCCCTGGAATCCCAGCATTGTCATTGAAATCAGAAAACCCATTTCCATCTCAGTTTCTCTCACCAGCATCCTCAACCTATAGAGAAAAGCTCGTGCCATTACTTTTGAAGACGATGGCAATAATTTCACCATTGTAATTTCTGGGGGTGATAAAAGGAGCATCTTCTGGGCTGTCTTGCAATATATAGAAGATGGGTAAATGGGATGCCCATAATAAGTCCTCAACATTCCTATATCCCTAGGGCACTGGATCCTTTCCTGTATATTTGCTGCTCATAAGGTATGAGGACCAGGAATACTGGGATCCTCTGGGAGCTTGTTAGAAATTCTGAATCTTGGACTCTACCAAAGACCCTACTGAATCAGAATTTTAACAAGACTCTCATGCTATTCATGTGCACGTTAAAGTTTGAAAAGCACCAACCTAAATTTGCTGTGCCAGCGAATTTCTGGCATTTCAACATCTTGCAGTTAGGCCACCCCTGAGCCCAGGTATCGGTCAATTAATTGGAAACAACTAAAGTCACTTCCAGCTGCTCAAGCTAGCATATTGAATTTAGATGTTCTGGTCCACAGAGGGGCTAGTAAATTCAGCCGGATCTAAAATTATGTTTCTCCCTCTTTGGTCTAGACCAATACTCTGCAAGTGTTTGAAAATGAAAATGAGCAATAGCTTGCATATCCTTTGGCATGTACATCTCCTACTGGGCTTGTCTTTGTAATTACAGGTCATAAATTCCAGCCATAAGACTGGAATCTAGCCATGAGCCTGGAAACTATAAGGGTGGCAGGGCTAAATCGTGAGGTGAATTGGCTCACTTGGCAAGATACCTGTCTCAGCCATGATCTTTGGGGTCCTCAAAAAGGGAGAGCTTCATCAGAAGTGAAAGGAAAGACTCCTTCAGCTGGGGTTTGAAAGCTTGGGAGGCATTTGAATTCTCCTTTCATATCCCATTCCATTCCAATCTACTGTTTCTTAATCCATGTCCAAACTTCTACATAGGAATAAATGATGCTATGCATCAACCTGATATTGTAATTCAGCAATCCATAGGATCAAATTTCCAGTTCAGTTTTTGCCTATCTCTGCCTGCAGCTTCACACTATGACATATTAATTCAGCAGTCATTACTTCTGTTCCTGTCTTGAACTGAGTATTTAGGACTTAGAGCTTGTCATTCTTATTTCTTTAATCTCTTCAGTGTCACTAAGAAACAACCACCTCCCCAGCTGGTCCTTGAATTAAAAAGCTGGTCCTTGTGCTTTTGATAACTCTTCTATGGCAGATGCCACTTAATTCCCCCAAGCCCTACCTTTAGTGGACACTCTGTTCCAGATAATACAGTTAATAATTTACCTAACAGTTTAATCACTGGATACCATACTGTGTGGATTTGCTGCATTTTACTCACTGCACCCTCAACTGTACCAGATAATCAAGTTCAGATTCATCCTATTATCTTAAGGGTCTATTTCTTGTCATCACTTCTGGAACAAATTAGAAGTCAGGGTTTTTACCTTGCAAATAGTTCCACTCTGGCTAATTTAAGCACAAAAAGAATTGATTACAGGATATTGAGCAGTTCCCAAACTCTCCGGAAAGACAGGAGAAACACACCCAAGAGGAACATTCAAAATCCTGCTATAGACCTGGCCTCAGGAAGCCCCCCTAGTGCTGCTTTTATGGGGCACAGACTCTTCTGCTGGCTCTGCTGACCTAACCACTACCAGCAGTGGCTGTTGCTGTGTCTGCTTCCCCTGCTGTCTCTGCACACTCATGACAGCAATCATAACTTCCATGCTCATTTCAACAGATTGTACTATTTTGCATTCTTTTGTGTCATAAGTGCCAGAGTCTGGTGTGGGGACAGCTGATGGCTGGAGTGTCACAGGCCAGTGCCTTAGCTGCAAGGGACACCATGAAAGCAAGTTTTCAGCTTTAATAGTGGGAGAAACTGTTGCCTGCAAAGATTCATAAGTTGGGAAATCCTCCAAAGGAAGGGCATTCAGATATTGCCTCTGTCATAGCTCATGTGATTGAGTATAGACATCAAGGGTGAGTGTGGCTGAGATGAGGCTAGAGAGGTAAGCAGGGACCAGATTAGCAGAGCTTCAAGGCTTATTTTAAGGATGGATTCTTCTAAAATTGGTAAGATTTTTAAAGGGCCTCAAATTGAGAAGAGGCTGTCACATGATCAATTTTTAACATTACAGTAAGAACATCCCTCTGGAGAGCTTATTGGATGCAGCAAGAGAGGCTGTGAGTGCACCTGTTAGGCTATTTCACTTATTCAGATGAGAGATGATGGTAGTGTTACCGGGGGAGTCCTTGCTCCCAGAGCTCCCAAGATGGCAGCAGGCCACTTCCAAAATGGTGGCAAGCCTCGTGTTCTCTGACCTGGGGTTCTTGGCCTCATGGATTCCAAGGAATGGAATCTTGGGCCATGCAGTGAGTGTTATAGCTCTATTAGAAGCCATGGGTCACGGAAGAGAACTGTGAACCCAGTGACTAGTGTTCAGCTCAATTAGGATGAACCTGGGCACTTAGCCATGCAGGAACAATGGCAAGACTTTAGCCTGATCAGGAGCAGCAATGGGTGCCTTGCTGGATCAGGGGCACAGAGGACACCCTGCCGAATCCGAAGGGATGGAAGTCAGTGGCAGGTCTGCGGCGGCAGCAAACAGCAGTGGTGGACAGTGAACAAAAGCTCAGCTAGAGCCGAGCCATAGCAAACATGCACCAGAAGAGAGCGCAGTTGCAAGATTTAATAGAGCGAAAACAGAGCTCCCATACAAAGGGAGGGGACCCAAAGAGGGTAGCCATTGCTGGCTTGAATGCCTGGGTTTATATCCTGATCATTGTCCCGCCCACTGTGGTCTCAGGCGAAAGATGATTGGCTATTTTTTTACCTGCTGTTTTTGCCTGATTAGCATTTTAGTGAGCTCTCTTTATTACCTGGTTGGCCGGTGTGAGCTAAGTTGCAAGCCCCATGTTTAAAGGTGGATGCGGTCACCTTCCCAGCTAGGCTTAGGGATTCTTAGTTGGCCTAGGAAATCCAGCTAGTCCTGTCTCTCAGTCCCCCCTCTCAACAGGAAAACCCAAGTGCTGTTGGGGAGGTTGGCTGACAACTGCTCTAACTGCTTCCTGCTGAATTGGGGTGTAGTAGGGGTTGTGCAGTTGAGATTTCCTTGGGAGGGGTGCCTTTGATGTCATTAACATTGGAGCATGGGCTAGCAGGCTGGTCCAGGGGTCCACGGTAGATTTTAGTCATGGACTGCATCTGGGGCTCCATTTGAAGAATGATTTGTAGCTTTACACCTTCAATTCTGGAAGAGACAAACTTAACAAGGAGGTTAAAGATACAGGGTCCAAAGAGGAGTAGCAATATTATAGCTGCTAGAGGTCCTAAGAAGGGGAGAATCCAGGGCATCCATTGGCTGAGGAGGCCCCAGGGTCCAGTGTTTTGAAGCTCCTCTGCTCTACATTGTATTTGATCTTGAATTTAACTTTCTCGGTGATGATTCCGGATTGATTAACATAATAACAGCATTCTTCCCCTAAAAATAAACAGGTTCCCTCTCTTTTGGTGGTTAGCAAGTCTAAAGCTCTTCAATTTTGAAGGACTACTGATGCTAGGGAGTTAAGTTGATCTTGCAAGGTGACCAGGGAGTCGGCGACCCGTTCCATGTCACCATTTAGTTCTTGAGATAGTTTGTAGTAGAACTGAGTAGAGGTTGTGATATCACCAATGCCAGTACCTCATCCACCTAGCACTCCTGTTCCGATAACAAAAGGAAGAATGGGTACTCTTTTGTTGTGGGGCTTAGGTACAACATGATTGTATAATTCTTGTTCAGTGTAGATGGTCATAGGGGGCACTAAGAATGAGAGGAAGCACATAGATTCTGAAGAGCCATTCAAACAACAATACGCTGAGGTACCACAGACAAAAAATATTCCTGAGGGTAGGCAAACTATTCATGTGGGAGGAGTTGCCCACCTGATGCATTGGGAGTTGGTTGTGTATATAGTATTGCTAAATTTTACACAGGTGAGGTTTGAGGTATGGGTTATTTCCAGATTGGAAACAAGAGGTCCTACTAAAACAGGAGTGGTGTTTATTTCTGTGCTGAAGTTGTTCCATTGTTCAGGTACAGGGATTGAAATGTATGCCCTGAAGTGTAGGGGGAGGCACATCCAACAGTTAGTAGGGTTTTGGGCCGAGACCTCATGGAGCCCAGTGAGGGTGGTATTAAATGGGCTTACCAGGCGAGTATGGGTACAGAGGGTTTCATATAGTTTTGAGAGATCTAGTCCTTTGTAGGGGCTAGGGGTGCTATGTACCCAGGTCAGTTGGGAGATTATTTCCTTTACATGTTTTTCTCTTGCCTGATCTTGAACTCCACCCCCATCAGACATACCGGTATGGGTAAAGTAAGTCCAATAGACAGTGGCTCCAATTCCTGCAGGACAACTAGGATTAATCATTTTCCCTGTCCAATAATGAGTATTTGCATGTATACAAGGAGTGGCAGAGTTATAGCAGTTACTGGGCATATGGTGTGGGCAGTGAAAGTGGGCGTTCCCTTAGATAAACTCCTATACAATGGGGCATCAATATTTCCAGGAAGCTGCATTCTCCATAGAAACTCTTGGTAAGGGGAGCTACTGGTCATACAGTGGCATTGAGGGGGTGCAATGAGAGTGAAAGGGGGTAAGAGAACAGTAAAGAGAAAAATATGATAAGGGAGGGCCATGGGGATTTACAATTTTAGTTACTTTCCTCATGGTTTTCATTTGAAGAGCAGGCACAGATCCTCTAGAGGTTGACAGGAATAGCTAGCATTGTATTTTAGCCCTAAGGATTTAACCTGCTATGAGCTGAGCTGAGCCTTTGGTTTGGAAACCCTGTAGCCACAGGTAGCAAGGAAATTTAAGAGCACTTGGGTGGCTTGATGGCACAAGGTTTCTGAATGGGCGGCTAAAAGTAAATCATCCACGTACCGAAGGACAAGAGTGTCCAAGTATGAGAATCGGCTCAAGTCTTGGGCTAATGTCTGGCCAAATAGATGGGGGCTATCCCTGAACCCTTGGGGTAAAACAGTCCAGGTGAGTTGAGACATTGGGTTTGAAGGATCTTCAAAGGCAAACAAGAATTGAGAGTCAGGATGTATAGGGTTGCAGAAAAAGGCATCCTGAAGGTCCAGGACTGTAAACCACTCTGCTTCCTCTGGTATTTGGGAAAGCAGAGTATAAGGGTTAGGTACAGCTGAGTATAGAGGAATAACAGCCTCATTGATAGTCCTGAGATCTTGCACTAACCTCCACTGTCCATTGGGTTTCTGTACTCCTAAAATTGGAGTATTGCAGGGGCTATTGCATGGTTTTACTAGGCTAGGCCTTGGGCTTTTAGGTCCTTAACAATCTTTTGGAGTCCTTGTTGGGCCTCAGGTCTAAGGGGGTCCTGCATTTCGCAGGGAAAGGAGGTGGCATCCTTTAGTTTAACTTGAACAGGATGGGCATTCTTTGCTTATCCATATTGTCCTTCTGTTGCCCAGACTTCAGGATTAATTCCTTCCTCAAGCAGGGGACAACAAACGGGTGTTCTTTCCCCTATGTTCAGGTGTATAACGGCCCCTGCTTTTGCTAGAATGTCTCTCCCTAACAAGGGAATGGGGCTTTCAGGCATAATTAGAAAAGCATATGAAAAAAGTAAAGTTCCCCAGCCATGACTTAGTGGCTGGGAGAAGTATCTAGTGACTGGCTGTCCTAGCACCCCTTGGATAGTGACAGATCTGGATGACAGTTGTCCAGGACAGGAGAGTAAGACTGAGAAGGCTGCACCAGTGTCCAGGAGACAGTTAACCTCCTGGCCCTTGATGGTCAAGCATACCCGGGGCTCTGTGAGGGTGATGGCATGGGCTGGTGCTTGCCCCAGACACCCTCAGTCCTGCTGCTGGGTCATCTGGTTAGTGACTTCTGACTCAAAGGAACTTCATCCCCTGGGGCAGTGGGCCTTCCAGTGATTCCCTTAACATAAGGGGCATGGAAGAGGGGGCAGCTTACTTCTACTTGGACAATCTTTTTTAAAGTGTCCTTGTAGACCACACTGGAAGCAAGCCCTATTAGGTATTCGATTTGCCCAGCTTTTCCCTTTTCCAGAGCCTCCAAAGTCCGCTTGCCTGTGGGCCATGAGTAAAGCGGTGGCCTTTTTTAAAATCCTGTTTGTCCCATTCTACCTGCTCCTCCTGATCTCTATTATAAAAAACTGAGGTTGCCAAGTTCAACAGGGTTTCTAAGTTTCGCTCCGGGCCTAAGGCAGACTTTTGAAGTTTTTTTCTAATGTCTGCAGCTGACTGAGTGATAAACTTATCCTTTAAGATTGGTTGGCCTTCAATAGAGTCAGGTGACAGGGAGGTATGCTTCCTCAATGCCTCCCTTAGTCTCTCCAGAAAGGCAGTAGGATTTTCTTCCTTTCCCTGTGTTATAGTGGACATCATTGAATAATTCATAGGCTTCTTCCTAATTTTCCTTAGTCCTTCTAGCATGCAAGTTGGCAAATGTCTGCGGCACCAATCTCCATGTTCTGATTCTGTGTCTCAATGAGGGTCTACACTGGGAACTGCCTGCTGGCCTGTGGGGAATCATTCTTTCCTCTGTTGTCATCCTATCATTGACCTGACTGAGATACAAGAGATTGCCAAACTCTCGGGCTGCAGTTATGACGGCACTTTTTTCATTTGGGGTTAGTGTCTGATTTAGCAGTAACATTATATCTCTCCAAGTCAGATCAAAGCATTGTCCTAACCCTTGTAAAACATCAATATAGCCATCAGGGTTATCTGAGAATTTACCGAGGTCTATTTTAATTTGCTTTAAGTCTGAGAGAGAAAAAGGTACACGCACTCTGGCTGGGCCGAATTCTCCTCCTCCCACTGCTTGGAGGCGGCATAATTGGGGAATATTGCCACTCTTTGGTTCATTGTTTACCCCTTTGTCTGTCTCTTTTGGACCATTTGGGTTGAAGGGGGTCCTTAATAGTTGGAGAAGGAGTTGGGGGGATGCTGGCGTAGGGAGGTAGACTCTGAGGGCTTCCTGTAGGGCATAAATCACACTTTCTACATAATTGCGAGTTGTCTCTTAATGAAAAGAAAGTTTGTACATATGGCAATTCACTCCATTTGCCTTCTTTTCTACAAAAGAGGTCTAGCTGTAAGATGGTGTTATAATTTATACTTCCCTCAGGAGGCCAGGTTTCTCCCCCTTGAAGAGGATATCATGGCCAGGCGGTACTGCAGAAGAATGTAAGTCATTTCTTTCTTAGAGTCTGAGGGTCAAATTGGTCCCAATTCTCCAGAATACATCTTAGGGGCATTTTTGCCTTGGGGGAACACTTCCCATCTGAAAAAAGAACATAGGGATGCCAGCACCCCTACTCATTTTCCGATGAGCATTAGTCCTAGAGCATCCTCTATAGTCCGAATGCTTATTCCTTTCCAGGGTGCATAACCACCTATGGACCTCTGCTTATCGGATTACATATGCTCACCGATGTAGCAGTCCTGCACACCTTTTCCTGCCTCTCTTGACCACAAAGAAAGGGGTCTGGGCTACTGGATTCTAGTGTTCCTTTACCAGCATGTCCAACATCGCCTTTGCACTCAGGGGTGAGTCCTAGAGCCAGGCTAGGTTCCTGAGTATTTCATAACAACCCACCTGCCCCATCAAGATGCATTCCCATAAACAACAGTTTTTATGCAAATTCGTTTCAGAGAAGGTGTAAGTAAGGTTTTGAGTCAGGACTGAGATAGTCTTTTGATTCTGTAAGTACTTTAAGGCTTGGCTGAGTGCAAACAGCTTGCACGTTTGAGGAGACCAATTATTAGGCAATTTTTCTAACTCTGCTTCCACAAGAGTCTCCCTATCAATTACTGAATACCCATTGTGGTTTTTTCCTCAGTCACCTGGGAGGGACCATCTATAGTCCTGTCCTGAAGGGAGTTCCTCCTAGGTCTGGTCAGGCCTTTGTATGGTAATTAAGATTTAAATCCCCTGTTAGGAAATTGGCTGGGTTAGGGGAATTATCAGTGGTTGGTGTTAAATTAACTTTTTCTAACAGAATAGCCCCATACTTTAAGATTTTTGAGTTAGTAAGCTACTTTTTTGCTTTTTTGACTTAGAATAATTCTGAACTGGTGAGGTGTGCTCACAATGACATTTCCTCTAAAAGTTACTTTTCTACTTTCTTTTGTTAGCAAAGCAGTTGCTGCTACAGATTGAATGCCTCCGCGGGTTACTGGGTTAAGGATTTTTGATAGGAAAGCTATGGGTTGTCAGCGGTCTCCGTGTTTTCAGGCTACTCCCTTGTTTACACTGACAAAGTAGTATTGGAGTATTATAGCGTCATGGAGAAGACCTTCAATTATCAATTATAGGTTTGAAATTTACCCTGGCTTTTAAAGGAATAGGGCACACTTTTTTTTTTGTTTTTTTGGTTTTTTGTTTTTTTGTTTTTTTGTTTTTTTTTTTTACTATTTATATCTTTCTTTTTCTCTTTGACTCCCTCTTTGTCTCTCTCTCCTCCATCTCACTCTCTGTCCTCCGTGTCACTCTCTCTCCTCCATCTCGCTCTATCTCCTCCATCTCACGCTCTCTCCTCTGTCTCGCGCTCTCTCTCCTCCGCCATTACAAGCTTGGGGCCCTGGCAAGGGTGGTAGGGAATGGGTCCCACATAACTGCCCATGTCGAGAGCTGTATACCTAAATCAGGAGGGACATCAGGAATAAGAGTCCCTGGATTTATAGCCTAGATGCCTAAGGATGCAGCATAGAGCTTCCTTAGATCCCTTTGGAGATACAACTTGCTAGATGAAATGAAAGTCTGAACCATTAGTACCTAGGAGGTAGGGATCAGGGGAAGTAGATTCAGAAGTAAGGAGAATTTTGGGGCTACACTTTCAAGAAAGTCGTGGTCGGGACCCAGGAGGTATGGGCCAGAAGGAAAGGTAGGGGCGAACGCATGGGTGACTGTTGAGCAGAGACTTCTAGCTGTGCCATGATCTCAACTGGCTAATGCCAGGAGTTCGGGAGGACAGCTTTCTGCCTCTAGTCAGACCTCAGCTTCCCCAAGAAAATTGAAAGTGAAAGCTGGCTCCAGGCAGACGAACCCTTCTGGGTTGGGGATTGTTAGAAAGCCCTTCCCCTGATAGCCTCACACCTGAGTTTTAAGTCCGGTGGCCACGCTAATCGTTTTTATTTTTATTTTTATTTTATTTTATATTTTTTTGAGACAGAGTCTCACTCTGTTGCCCAGGCTGGAGTGCAGTGGTGCGATCTCAGCTCACTGCAAGCTCCACCTCCCGGGTTCACGCCATTCTCCTGCCTCAGCCTCCCACACGCTAATCATTTTTAACCTGCGGACAGGTGCCTGGTATTTTCCTCCAATTCTAAGGAAGGATAGGACAGAATAGCAAGCGAAAGAGGTCCAATATTACTCACTGCTTTGGAGATCTCTTCGTGGTTACCAAAATGTCACCGGGGGTTCCTTGCTCCCAGAGCTCCCAAGATGGCAGCAGGCCACTTCCAAGATGGTGGCAAGCCTTGGCCTCACGGATTCCAAAGAATGGAATCTTGCACCATGCGATGAGTGTTATAGCTCTATTAGAAGCCGTGGGTCACGGAAGAGAACCATGGAACCCAGTGACTAGTGTTCAGCTCAATTAGGACAAATCTGGGCACTTAGCCATGCAGGAACAATGGCAAGACTTTAGCCCGATCAGGAGCAGCAATGCGTGCCTTGCTAGATCAGGAGCACAGAGGACACCCTGCCGGATCCGAAGGGATGGAAGTCAGCAGCGGGTCTGCGGTGGTGGCAAACAGCAGTGGTGGACAGTGAGCGAAAGCTCAGCTTGAGCCAAGCCATAACAAACATGCACCAGAAGAGAGCGCAGTTGCAAGATTTAATAGAGCGAAAACAGAGCTCCCATACAAAGGGAGGGGACCCAAAGAGGGTAGCCATTGCCAGCTTGAAGGCCTGGGTTTATATCCCGATCATTGTCCCCCTCACTGTGCTCTCAGGCAATAGGTGATTGGCTATTTCTTTACCTCCTGTTTTTGCCTAATTAGCATTTTAGTGAGCTCTCTTTATTACCTGGTTGGTCGGTGTGAGCTAAGTTGCAAGCCCCATGTTTAAAGGTGGATGTGGTCACCTTCCCAGCTAGGCTTAGGGATTCTTAGTCAGCCTAGGAAATCCAGCTTGTCCTGTCTCTCAGTAGCATGAGCAATATTGGTGACAGAGAGGAAGAGCTGAATTCAGTAGACCTGATGATGGTTGGATAGAAGCAGGTGAGGGAGAAGGAAGTGTCTAGGATGGCTTCAGGTTTCAGGCTACTGTCCCTGGATGAATGATGTTGCCACTCACTGGGATAGAGGAGACTGTGCATGGTTCTGGTTGGGGCAGAGATGTGGGTTGTTTGTGTTGCGGGGGGTATCGAAGGTCCTCTATCTGCTTTTAAACAAGCTGAACTTGAAGTGCCTTTGGGATATCCAAAAGAAGATTTCAAGAAGGCCGTTTGATATACAGATCTGGATCCCAGTAAAAAGGTCTGGGCTGAAAATATGAATTTATAAGCCAACAGCTCATAAGCTGACACTTGAAATGTAGCTGTGAGTGAGATCATTTGGTGGGAGTGTGTAGGGCAGAACAAAATAGTTCTAGAAAGGTGTTTGGAAGGATGAAACATTTTTTTCTCTTTTCTTTTTTTCTTAGTCCATGACCTGTGTAAGGGATGAAACATTTTAGTGGCCAGTTTAGTGGGCTCTCTTGGTTGCTTTCTCAGAATTGGCATCCTCCGTTTCTCTTCCTAATCCCAATTTTGTTCAGATATTTCCTTTTTCCTTTTGCAGCTCTGTTCCTCTGCAGAATTTGACTTCATCTTCAATTCTACATGCGGCATGATTAGCATACAGGCAATCCTATTCCTCTTTCCAATGAATGGTTCAACAATGGCCATGTGACCTGCTAATGAGAGAGGAGAGAAGACCAGTTGTTAGGCTTTGGGAAAGTTTGTCCTTGATCCCAAGAGGGTACCAGAAGGAAATCAGTTTAAGTCTTTTGAACATCTTTGAGTCTAGATGTGTTGTCTGGCACTGCTGCATCTTTCCTGCTATCAGTTTGAGCATGCAGACATCACTGAGAGTGGCAGGAAGAGAGAGAGGTGCTAGAAACCCGGGGCCTTGGAGTCTTTTAATCTGCTAACCCTGAAATCCTGTTTCTCTTCCTTACTTCCTTCTATATGAGATGACACTTTTTATAATCTTTTTAGTTGGTTTGAGTTGAGATATCTGTTACTTGCAGCAGAGGAAAATGAGGCTGCACATTTACACCAGATCCCACAGCTAGTAAGAAAGACACCTGGAATTTGACCTTAAGTTGGTCTGAAGGCAGAGCCCATATGCTAGAACTATCGCCCTGCCCATTAAAGAAACATTTGCGTTTTCATTAGTTATTTTTTGTTAATTCCAGGACAGGAGATGGCAAAGGGGAGATAGTAAATATTTTAGGCTTTGCAGGCCATATGGTCTCTGTCCCAATTATCCAACTCTGCTGTTGTAGCAAAAGTAGTAATAGAAAATATGTAAACGAGTAGGTGTGGCTGTGCTCCAATAAAACTTTATTTACAAAAACAGGGGGTGGGCCTGTGGGTTGTAGTTTGCCAACGCTTGTTCTATTGTAAAAGACTAAGAAAATAAATTCTGAATTAAGACCCCGTGTTTTAATTACAAGTGTCATTGTAGGAAATAGTGACTGAATCCAGTTTAAGCACAGTCATGTGCCATTTAACGATATTTTAGCCAAGACAGACTGCATATACAATTGTGGTCTTGTAAGATGATAATGGAGCTGAGAAATTCCTATCACCTGGACACAACATGCTGATCCTGACTCTGTGGAGGTGGCTAATGTGTGTGTTTGTGTCTTAGTGTGGCAGGCCAATTCTCCCTGACAATTGCCCAGACAGGCCTGCATGCCAGGCACACAGACAGGCCTGCATAGCTCTCCAGTTACACAGACAAATTTCCACAGCACTGCCTTAACATTGAGCAAATCGTTAAACCTGGGGAAATTGGTGCCCAGACATCAAAGCTAGAAGTGAAACATATGGTCAGTAGGAGCCTTGCATGGGCTTTTCCCTAACCTGGAGCAAGTCAAAGTAATAGAGACAGCCTTACATTCCTAGTGCCGGGACCCATCTTGGGTCGATGGAAACTGAGACAAGTCAAGGTAACAGAGGCAGCTGTTTGAATAGATTCACTGGAGAGCATAACACAGCTCTCCAGACCAAGCTGTAAAGGAGATAAGATAGAAATAATCACCCTGGTACCACAGTGGACAGGCCTGAAGGTACTGAGCCCTTTTAATCAAACTAAGCATTTTTTGCCTCTGATCTTCTAGTTGAAACAAAATTAGTTATCAACAGACTTAGGCGAATGCTATACGGCTTATAGGCACATAACCCCAGTCTATATAAGCACTAAGAAAATTGTAACACTTTGAGTTGGTCTGGTGGAATTATCTCGGGCCTTCTCCCTGTATCCAGTTACAGCAATGAATTCCCTTATTTCCTAGTTTGTCTGCTTCTTGTTATCGGGCAAATGCAGCTGGACCCGGCTTTGTTCTGAGAATATTAGTTTTTTAAAGAATTAAAAATGTAGACCGAGTGCAGTGGTTCACGCTTGTAATCCCAGCACTTTGGAAGGCCGAGGCAGGCGGATCACGAGGTCAGCAGTTCGAGACCAGCCTGGCCAACACAGTGAAACCCCTTCTCTACTAAAACTACAAAAATTAGCTGAATGTGATGGTGGGCACCTGTAATCCCAGCTACTCGGGAGGCTGAGACAGGAGAATCGCTTGAACCCGGGAGGCGGAGGTTGCAGTGAGCTGAGATTGTGCCACTGCACTCCAGCCTGGGTGAAAGAGCTAGACTCCGTCTCAAAAAAAAAAAAAAAAGGAAAAACCTTACAGAATAAAGATATAAGGAAAGAAAATATTTTTGTACAGCTGTGCAATGTGTGTTTTAAACTATTATTATAAGAGTCAAAAAGTGTTCAAAATGTTAAGTTTATAAAGTAAAAAAGTTACAGTAAGCTAAAGTTATGATTGAAGAGAATTTTTTATAAATTTAATGTAGCCTAAGTGTACGGTGTGTATAAAATCTGCAGTAGTGTCCAGTAATGTCCTAGGCCTTCACATTCACTCACCACTCACTCACTGACTCACCCAGAACAACTTCCAGTCCTGCAAGCTTCATTCATGTTAAGTACCCTGTACAGGTGTACAATTAAGAAAATATATTTTAAACTGTACTTATACTGTGCCTTTTCTATGTTTAGATGTGTTTAGAGACACCAATACTTGCCATTGTGTTACAATTGCCTACAGTTTTCAATACAGTAACATGATGTACAGGTTTGTAGCTTAGGAGCAATAGGGTATCCCATAGAGCCTAGGTGTGTGGCAGGCTGTACCATCTAAGTTTGTGGAAGTGCACTCTGTGATGTTCAAACAATGATGAAATCACCTAATGATACATTTCTCAGAATACATCCCTGTTGTACTTGCTGCAACCTGTGAAATTTCAACACACAGCCAAATTCTATTTTGCTTTTTTAAAGTTTTTTTTTTTAATCTATGTCCCAGAATAGCAAGATTTGGATCAACATAACACAAATTGGTCTCTAAATATTGAGTAATTAAGAATGATTCACAAATATAGCATTATAACCAAGTGCCCTAGGGCATTTGCAAAGCTGGGAGGCTGAATGGGTTATGGTGGCTGCCTGAGGATTCTGGGAGATGAGGTTGTCTTTCCTTCTCTGACTCTATCGCTGCTTCCTCCTCACTTCCCTAAGGCAGCAAGGGGTGCTGGATCCTTCCCAACTAGAAGTGCCTATTGTACAAGGCATATGGGTGTAGTTAGGAGTGGGGTGGGGCTGAAGCAGTTAGGATCCCACACCTGTCTATTCCTAGTGCATGTTCAGATAATTTTGGACAACCAGAACTTTCGACTTGTTCTACAGCAACCAACAGAGAATTATTAATAAATGCTCTTTTTTGGGGAGCTTGTAAGGTCTTTGATCTGTGGGAAGAGAAACACTTACTCTTTATTTTGTTTCTATCCTAGAGCTTGGAACAATAGTCAAAGTGTGAGCCAGTGAGGGTCTGTTGGCCAGAGTTGGCAAAAAGAAAGGTGAGCTGAAAACCTGAAGAAATCAATAACAGAACTGAATGATGTTGCAATGGCTGGGGGTAGTGAAAAAATTTTAAATGCTTCCACTTTCTGCATAGCGGGACATTCTCGGGGAAAGCACATTTTACGATGGACTCTCCACAGAGCAGAATATTTAATATTTCAACGTAGCAATAATACAGTCAAGGGCAATCAATAACAACTGCCACTTTTCTACCTGCCTTGATGAATGAAGGTGGGCTCTGGCCTCTCTCCAGTTGGTGCATTTCTGCCTGGCCTGTGCTTGTCAGCCAGGGAAGCATTCGTGGCCCCTGGATCCTGCTCCAGGCTGACTTCCCAGCACCCACCTCTGAGTTGGCCTGTCTTGTCTGTCACTACCAGAGAGAGGCCCCCTCAGGCTGCAGGGCTGAGCAGAAAGATACAGCGAGGCCAGCTTAAACTCCACCATCCCCAAACACTGGATCAGGCTCCCATTGGCACAGGTTAATTCCAGCCATAGCGTCCTGCACAGGTGGCTCAGGAGGGAGAGCCACAAAGCCGAATGTGACAAGCGTTTCATTTTACAGGACGCTTGCTGAAGACTGGGCTGGAAGAAGAGGAGATTTCAAAACACAACACAATTAGCCCCACGTCACAGGTGTGTACTAAGCAAAACCACAGCCCCAGAGCAGTCTTGGCTCTGAGTTGCACCACAAAGCTGAGGGCCTGGCTGGGAGCACAGGCTGTCAATTTCAAAAGAGATCCTTAGACAGAAAGTCATCACTTATTCATGCTTCATAAGCACACACAGACATTCAAATCCCTTAAAGACAGGATGCTGCATCACTTCAATTAACAGCAAAGTGAGGCCATTTGCAGCTCAAATTCTGCCAGCTGCTGATGGTAGGCGAGCTTCCGCAAGGAGGCAGTAAGCTGTCAAGCCCAATGCTACAGTGGCCAATTGAAATACAGGAAAAGGCCAGACGCAGTGGCTCACGCCTGTAATCCTAGCACTTTGGGAAGCCAAGGCAGGCAGATCACTTGAGCTCAGGAGTTTGAGACCAGCCTAGGCAACATGGTGAAACCCCATCTCTATATAAAGTACAATTAGCTGGGCGTGGTGGTGTGTGCCTGTAGTCCTAGCTATTTGGAGGGCTGAGGTGGGAGGATGGCTTGAGCCTGTGAGGCAGAGGTTGCAGCGAACCAAGATCACACCACTGCCCTCCAGCCTGGGTGGCAGACCCAGACCCTGTTTTCAAAACAAAACAAAACAAAACAAAACAAAAAGAAAAACAAATAAATCTAGGAAAGACTAACGTCCTCAGCTCTAGGAAAGATATTTGGGCATTTTTATGTTTTTCTTAATTTGTGGTACAAAACCAGAAAGTCTTAGTATTTGACTGTGAAAGCTGTCATAATCAAAATGGAGTCACTAATGTGAAGAAAACTGTAACAAATAGAGCTAGGGAAGGCAATGGGAAGAGTGTTCTCACACATGTATGCCTGAGTTTAAAAACTCAACAAAACCACAATCTTGCACAAAGGCCATCACAACCTTACACAAAAAATACTTCTGCAAGGACATTTGCCCTGCAACTGCCTGTTCAACATCAGACTGGTGGTGACCCTCATAGCCAAAGATAATTATTTCAAAACAATTGTGTAAAGTATTGTACAATTGTGTAGTTTTATTTGGCATGCATATTCCCATTGCCATGCCTAGGCGCAAATAAATCTCTTTTCTTTTAGAGATCCTCTCTCTGTTATTTAGGTTGACATGAGCTTTACTTGATAGGTAAGAAGAGGTACAAATTAGAAATAGCAGACCTGTTGGAGAAGGTGAAGCAGCAGCAAACTCATTATCACATGAATGGATGTTCTGTGTAGTTGGAATAAAAAGCTGGGACATTTTACTGGGACCTAAATGGCTTCAAATCAATGCCTCATACAAATGTAGGCATTAGATGGAACAAAACAAAACACCAGCAGCAAAACACACAATACTGCAGGAATCATGATAACCAAGTAGGTCTCTACTGATAAAACTTTTACAAAGCCATTGTTGACACAGTGTACCTCAAGTATTGGAGGGAGATGGCCTCGGTATAGCTCTTTGTCCTAACATTTATTGATAAGAATCATCTGGTTGGAAGGCCCTTGTAGAGACTACTTAGTTCAATAATTCTTAACCAGGTGACATTACCCACCCCATCTCCTGTCATGGGGCTTTTGGAAATGTTTGGGTGTGGTTCTGGTTTTCATAATAACTGAGGATGGGCAGCTTTATAACTGAGAATTAGAGACCAGATGTCAAGGAGCGTTAAACATCCTTAACCCCTATATATGAGCAGTTCCACATAAGAATGATCCCAACTGAAAAGTCAGTAGTGCCTCTATGTTAGTCTGTTCTCATTCTGCTAATAAAGACGTACCTGAGACGGTAGTTTATAAAGGAAAGAGGTTTAATTGACTCACAGTTCCATATGGCTGGGGAGGCCTCACAATCATACCAGAAGGTGAATGAAGAGCGAAGTCACATCTTGCATGTTGGCAGGCAAGAGAGTTTGTGCAAGGGAACACCCATCTATAAAACCATCAGATCTCATGAGACTTATTCACTACCACGAGAATGGTATAGGGGAAACCACCACATGATTCAATTGTCTCCACCTGGCCCTACCCTTGACATGTGGGGATTATTACAATTCAAAGTGAGAGTCAGGTGGGGACACAGCCAAATCATATCAGCCTCCATTGGGAAACACTAACTTAGACCAATCACCCCATTATACAGATGAGAAAGCTGAAGCTTCAGGTTATGAAGTTTTTTTATCTAAGATCGCCCAGGTCAGTGACAAAGCTGGGCCCAGGACCCAAGATTCCTGACTCCCACTTCAGGGTATCCTTCCTTAAGTTTCCAGTGACCACCTTTCATAAACTTAGGACTGAGTTTGACAAGTGGGAGGGCACACCTGCCTAAACTAAAAGTATCTGAGACAGGTCTTAGTCAATTTAGAAAGTTTATTTTGCTAAGGTTAAGGAAGAACCATGACACAGCCTCAGGAGGTCCGAACAACATGTGCCCAAGGGGGTTGGGGTACAGCTTGGTTTCATACATTTCAGGGAGATATGAGACATCAATCAATACATGTAAGATGTACAATGGTTTGGTCTAGAAAGGTGGGACAACTCATGGGTGGGGGGCTTCCAGGTTATGGTAGATTTAAAGATTTTTTGATTGGCTATTCATTAAAAGTTATTATCAATAGAAAGGAATGTCTGGGTTATGATAAAGGGTTGTGGAGACCAAGTATTTATCAGGCAGATGAAGCCCCCAGGTAGCAGGCTTCAGAGAGAATGGATTGCAAATGTTTCTTATCAGACGTAAAGAGTCTGTTCTGTCAGTAATTCAAAAGGGAGGAGGGTATAATGAGGCATGTCCAGCTCCCCATTCCCATCATGGCCTGAACTAACTAGTTGTTCAGGTTAACTTTGAAATGCCCTTGGCCCCGAGGAGGGGTCTATTCAGATGGCTGAGGGGGCTTAGAATTTTATTTTTGGTTTATACCTGGGACAACAGGATAGCATTTTAAATCAGGACTGCCCTGAGAGTGTCTCCCAGCTCTGTATTAGGCTGACCTGGTGCCTGTGCTCCAAAGCCTCACCTGCTGAGATCCACTAACAAGGCAGTCTTGGTGAGCGGACCAGATGGTGGAGAACTGTTGTTTTATCACAGGGAGGAGGAGACACTGAAACTCTGGGTCCTCCAGGAGAGGTGCCATGGTCATAGCAGGCCCTGCACCCTTTTTGCTTCTTGCTCCTCTCTGGGGGTAGAACTTTCTGCACTCCACACAAATGGATAAGGCATAAAACAGTAGGTTCACCTGCAGCCATCAGACAACAGGCATTTGATTTTTAACATGTTTTTTTGAAAAGACACAAGCAACTCTCTCCAGGCATCCTTTGAGAATGACATCATCTTTAAAACTCTGCATGGCAATCCCTGACACACTACTGTGATGCCCAGGGAAGACAGGGCAACCTGGAAGTCCAACTACTTCCTTAAGGTCATCGAACATTTGGATGATTATCCAAAATGCTTCATTGTGGGAGTGAACAATGTGGGCTCCGAGCAGATGAAGCAGATCCAAATGTCCCTGCAAGGGAAGGCTGGTGGACAAGAGCACCATGATGCATGAGGCTATCCAAGGACATCTGGAAAACAACACAGCTCTGGAGAAACCATTGCCTCATTTCATTTCTGGGGGTATGTAGGTTTTGTGTTCACCAAGTAGGACCTCACTGAGATCAGGGACTTGCTGCCACTTATGCTGGTGCTATTGCCCCATGTGAAGTCACTATGCTCACCTGGAACCCTGGTCTGGGGCCCAAGAAGACCTTTCTTACAGGTTTTCGGCATCAGGAACTAAGATGTTCAGGGGCTCCGTTGAAATCCTGAGTGAGGTGCCACTGATTAAGACTGGAGACAAAGCGGGAGCCAGTGAAGCCACACTGGTGAACATGTGGAACATCTCCCCCTCCTCCTTTGAGCTGATCATCCAGCCGGTGTTTGACAACTGCAGCATCTACAACCCTGAAGTGCTTGACATGGCAGAGGAAACTGCATCCTTGCTTCCTGGAGGGTGTCCGTAATGTTCCCAGTGTCTGTCTGCAGATTGGTTACCCAACTGTTGCATCAGTTCCCTATCCTATCATCAGCAGGTACAAATGGGTGCTGGCTTTGTCTGTGGAGACTGATTACGCCTTCCTGCTTGCTGGAAAGGCCAAGGCCATCTTTGCTGCTCCATCTGCATTTTGTGGCTGCTGCTCCTGTGGACGCTCCTGCTACTACTGCTGCTGCAGCCCCAAACAAAGTTGAAGCCAAGGAAGAGTCAGAGGAGGATATGGAATTTGGTCTCTTTGACTAATCACTGAAAAGCAACAAACTCAGCTAACTTTATTTGCAAAACAAGGAAATCAAGGCTTGCTTCTCTTAAAAAGAAAAAAGACACATGCAAACAAAAAGAAAGAAATGACCCCCTGAGTTGAGGTAGTGTCAGTTTTTCCACTGAAACAGAGAACAAAAGTTATTTAAATAGCTTGCAACTTTCTGATGATGACTCCTGCTTGAAATGCTGGGCCTGTCCTGAATTCCCTGTACTTTGTACCTTCCATGGCATGGATCATGTTCTGTTCTTCCTCTGTAATAATTTATGCACACTTAGCTGCTCCTGGTGTTAGATCCCAAGCTCTGCAGTGCAGACTCTATTTTAGTCAACTTAAGCCAACACGTGCCTCACATAGGCATACAGTAGACTTTTCAAAAATGCTTGTTGCATAAACAAGTGCAGACCAACTAACTCAGAACTGAGTCTTTTTCTTTCTGCTGCTGATATGCTGGGGCACTCACAGACTTGGGGACCATGTCACTCTCCTTTCATTCCTTAAGGTTTCGCATATGGTTTGGATATTTGTCCATTCTAAAACCTCATGTTGAATTGTTATCCCCAATGTTGGAGGTGAGGCCTCATGGGAGGTGTTTGGGTCATGGAAGAGGGTCCTTCATGAATGGCTGGGTATGGTCCTGTTGGTAATGAGAGTGAGTTCTCACTCTATTAATTCACTTGAGATTTGATTGTTTAAAAAATCTGGCACCTCCCCTCTCTTGCCATGTGATATGCTGGCTCCCCTTCCCTTCCACCATGATTGTAAGCTTCCTGAGTCCTCACCATAAGCCAGGCAGATGCTGGTGCCATGCTCATATAGCCTGCAGAACTATGAGCTGAATAAACCTCTTTTCTTCATAAATTACCCAGTCTCAGGTATTCCTTTATAGCAACACAAATGGACTAATATAGTATCAAATAGGTCTAGAGTCAGATGGTTGGAGTTGAATCCTGCCTGTACTGTTGACTGTTTGACCTTGAAGAAGCTACTTAATCTCTTTGGGCTTCAGGGTCCATATCTGTACAATGACCATGATGACTATACTTATAAGACTGCTGAGAGGATTCAGTATGGGATAATACATGTGTCATTCCAGAGTATTTTCCAATACCAAAAACCAATTCTCCAATTCTCTGGACACCAACTGGGTGTCCTACAATTTGATTCAATTCTGACACTAACTCTAAGTAGTTAGTGTCGGATTCCACAGATTTAAGGGTTCGGTCCCACAAGACTGCCTCAACTGCAGATACCAGTCACAAGTCCAGGGTCACTGAACTTCTGACCAACTGGCTATAAATGTGCAGTTCCCACAACCCTCTCCTCAAGTTCGATAATCTGCTAGAATGCATTTCAGATCTCAGAAAAATATTTTTGTTTACTGGTTTATTATAAAGGATACAACTCAGGAACAGCCAAACAGAAAAGGTGCATAGGGCAAGGTCTGGGGAGTGCAGAGTGTTTCTGTGCCCTCTCTGGGTGCACTACTCTCCCAGCACCTCCATGTGTTTGCCAACCTGAAAGCTCTCCAAATCTCATTTTTCAATAGTTTTTATACAGCTCAATCTCCAGCCCTCCCCCAGAAGGTAGTAGGTGGGGCTGAAAGTTCCCACTCTCTAATCGCTCCGTCTTTCTGGTGATCAACCACTTCCTGAGGCTACTTAGGAGTCCTACCTAAGTCACTGCATTAGCATAAACTCAGATGTGACTGAAAGGGGTTCCTTATGAATAACAATTCATTACTCAGAAAATTCCAATAGTTTTGGGAGCACTGTGTTGGCAACTGGAGACAAAGACCAAATATATTTCTTGTTATACTTAGCACAGTGCCTGGCTGGTGTCATAAACCGTTAGTGGATGAATGTTATCTGTTGTCATCAACATCACCATTACCTTCCTCAGATAAGTCTACTGTCTTGCAATTGAGGTTTTCTAAGGTGTAGATTGAAGATATGAATCACAGCTTTTCATTAAAACAGGAAAGCACTCAGAACAATACAAGGGTCAGGACACTGAGCCTGACATTCAAAATCTGTTAATTTCAAACAAAATGTCTCAGCCTGAAAGGCTGCACTCAGGACAAAGGACCATATGGCGGCTTGGTTGGTGGCATCAGGCAGAGTACTGGAAGAATAATTCTTAGGCCAAACTGTTTTTAATTTAAATGATCTGGAAAGGAGAGTAAGCCACACATTATGTATACCCAGAGGTGTGTTAAGCATTAAAGACAACTCAGAAATAACACGACGTTAAAAAATACTTGTCTCCAAGATGAAAAATAAAGTACCATTTGACAGAGAATGTTGAGAATGACAATCCATGTTAATTAGCATGGGTTTCTGAGTCCCTGGCTTGACAGCAATAATTTTCAGGCAGGCTAAGATTTTAATTAAAATGGAAGAAGAATTACTGAAGTCTCTTGAGTGCTGACAATCAACAAGAAACTTATCAGGTTGGAAGAAGCTGGTGAGAATTTGCAGGTGGTTGGAATAATGTCAGGTGGAACTTCCTATGGTTCTAGGAGTCCTTAGAAATTATTTAGTTTAAGACTATTATTTTACAGGAAAAGAAATGAAACTCTTGGGAGGTGATGTGATTTGCCCACATCCTACACAGTAAGTTAGTGACATAATTCAGTCAGCCAACCTCCACCCAGCACTCCCCTCACTTACACCATTTTAAGGAACCTTGTATAAGTTGGAGTTGGCTCCTCCTGTCTCTCAGCTTTTTTCTATTTCCAGTCTTAAAAGAGGAGATTTTTTCAGATGCAGATAATTTTTGATATGCTCATTATATTTCCTGAGTTTTGAATGCTTTGAACATTTTTATATAATAAAGTGATCTCCCATTATGGGAAATATGTAATTCTTTTCTTCCAGAGTCTCTCTATGCAACTTTCTTGATAGACATTTACCTATAAAGGTAGATTTTTTTAATCACTAAAGGAGATTTCAGGCATCCATGTCCCATCAGATCCTGCTGGCACCTCGAAGTCAAGGCCTCTATTTCCTTCTTCACCCAGAAAAGACACATTGGTTGCGGGCCTGGCATCAGACTGGCTCTGACCTTCTGTGATACACATTACCCTTCTTGGCCTCAGTTTTCCCCTCTGCAAAGAAGAGTTTGGGAAAGTTGAAGGCCAAGGTCTATCCTAGTCTCACAGCTGGTGTCCCACACTTACTTTGTTTAAAAGCCAGCTCTGCCTTTGCAAACGTACCAAACTGACTGGGGTCATATGGATTTTGCAGCAGAATGAAATGTGAAATTAATGTTTTTCCCATTAATAAATTATACAAGACTCAGAGGCATCTTCCCCCAAAGGCCCTTACTTGGAAAAATTTCTCCCCCTCTGTTAAATATATCAGAAACTAAACTGTAAAGAAGTTATATGGACTCATATATGAGTGAAGGAAACATTCACTCCTGCAGGAAGATGGGAGGAAGAACAACTTGAAACAGATACAATGGAAACAAATCCATTCCCTGCTATTCCTTGAAATGCAGAAAGGAAAACATAAATGGCACTCATTAGAGGGGAGGAAAGAGCACAGTCAGGAAGCTGTGTTGGGGAAACTACTCCACGTCTTTTTGCATCCCCAACTTTGAGCTCGGCCTTTATTTGTTGTATTATTAATAACAAAGATAATTTTTTTGAATTTCCACCATAAGGTAGGTCCAAATGCTTTTCAAATGTCAAGATCTATTATTATGATCACTACCACCATCTTTATTATCATCATCAACATCACGTAGGGTCCATCTCTGCATTCCCTGAACATAAATGGGGACAACGTTGTGCTTTTCACTCTAATCTTGTGGTTGGAGTTAGAGTAGGGGTCATGCAAGCCACTGATGGTAATGAGATGGACTCTTGCTATGAAAATTCAAGTCCAAAAAAAGTAGAGAAGATCTTCCTTCTCTCCCTAAGTTGCCCAGGTCTAAATATACTGACAAAGACGCTGTCTAAAATATAGCATTAGCCACAAGGAGGAAGTTGCAAAATAGCATGTACATGTATGATAGCATTTTTGTTAAAAACATCAGCAAATCTCCATGTTAGGATATGCATAGAAAAAGATTTTGAAGAATAGATACAAAACCTTTTACAGTGATTACTTTTATGGGGATGGAATTATGGAAGATGTTAGCTTTCTAGTTTCTGTATTTCCAAAATTTTTTAGTAACAAATCATATTTAATTAGAAAACTAAAGTTTAAAACAAAACTTCTTCAGGAAAGCAATCTTCCCCTCTTTATTATCACAAGAGACTCTTTCCTTCATACAATGATTTAAAACTTTACCAGGCATAAGTGATGAGTGTGGGGGTTTATTATACTTTTCTTTGTATTTTTATATTGTTTGAAAATATCCATAAGCTTTTGCACACACACAGAGAATAAAAATGCTGAAGACATTCCTGAGCTTTATATTAAGAGAGATATCTATAATTTTTCTGAATACAAAAGTGAATTTTAAATTCAAATATCGCTGGTGATTATGAAAGTCCCTCATTGTTTTAGTCCATTCAGGCCACGGCAATAAAATATCATAGTGGGTGACTTATAAGCAACAGAACTTTATTGCACACACTTCTAGAGGCACATTGGGTTGGGGGCCTGGCATCAGACTGGCTCTGGATCTAGGAAGTCCAAGATCAAGGTGCTAACAGATTCAGTGTCTGGCAAGGGCCTGATTTCTTGTTCATAAATGGTGACTTTTCTGTTTGTCCTCACATGGTAGAAGGAGCAAGAGGTCTCTCTCAGGCCCCTTTTATAAGGGCATAATCCCATTCATGAGAGTTCTGTCCCCATGAGCTAATCACCTCCCAAAGGCCCTGCCCTTAACCTTGGGGGTTAGGGTTTCAATATGTGAATATTGAAGAGACACAAATATTCAAACCATAGCACTCATTAATCTATGCCCCCATAATGACTGACAACATGGTGACATGTAGTATAAATGTAAACATATAGCTATATAGAGATATTTAGTTAGTTTTTATTTGAAATGAGAACATACTACAAAAAATAAAATATTTATTGGGATTAGTGGTTTCCTAGGGCTGAGAGGGGGATATGGGGATATTATAGCCTGAGCTGAGGAGTGAATACTGGTGGGTACTGGGCTCTTTTTCAGGTGATGAAAATGTTCTAAAATTATATTGTGATAATGACTGCATAGCTCTGTGATTATACTTAAAACATTAGATTGCACACTTTAGGTAAATTGTATGTATGTGAATTATATTGCAATAAAGCTATTTAAAAAAACCCCAAATTCTTGGGGCTCTTGTTTCTTCTGGCTGTGTACTAAACAGAGGCATCTGAGAATATATAAGGATACATCTCTGCCAGGTGCGGTGGCTAATGCCTGTAATCCCAGCACTTTGGGAGGCCGAGGCAGGCAGATCACTCGAGGCCAGGAGTTCAAGACCGGTCTGGACAACATAGCAAAACCCCGTCTCTACTCAAAGTACAAAAATTAGCTGGACATGGTGGTACATGCCTGTAATCCCAGCTACTCGGATGCTGAAGCAGGAGAATCACTTGAATCCGGGAGGCAGAGGTTGCGGTGGGCTGAGATTGCGCCAGTTCACTGCAGCCTGTGACAGAACAAGAATCCCTCTTAAAAAAAAAAAAAGATACATCTGATAAATAGGGAATAACCATCTTTATGGTCAGAAACAAACTATAATGAGCATGATAAAATGAGGCATATTGGCCACCTACATTCGCATGAGTATTATATTTCATAAGTAGAGAGAGTCCAGATCCAGGCTGGCTAACTTAGCCAAGCCAATCACATAGGCAAGGGAGTGATGTGTAGGAGAACAGATCACACTGATCCTAATGGACCAAGGTAGAACCATCCTGGCCACAGTCAGGCCAGCCATGTTCCCAGCTGCACAGGGTGGGGAAGGCCCCAGAGTCAGCAAGACTTTAGGGACTCAAGGGGGACCATTTGAGGTGTGTGTGGTGGCTCCAGCAAAGTTCTTACACAATTGCAAGCTTCACTCTCCAAGGTCTTGAATGGTTCCACCAAACATTAAAGAGCAGGCCTGGTTGTTATAGGCCTGGCTTATAGAGATTAAGGTCCATCCTCACATCTCAGGGGTGGGTTCCTGCTCCTCCAAGGCTCTGGTGTAGAGAGGAGGGCAAATAATAAATTGGCTGAGATTAAATTCTGCTGCCCCCATCTTCGTCACAACTGTGACTGGAGAGAGATTGAATTATGGAATAATAAGAGAAGTACTATTTCCTGCATATCTGAGTTTGGGGACTGAAATTTATCCATGCTATATATGAAGGGAACACTTTGATGGTCAGAAACAGACCATAATGAATGTGACCGCATAAAGATGAGTGTAATTGGGGCTCAAGGTGAATACCACATTTTAGGAATTCCTGGATTCTAGTTCTAATCTCTCCTCTAAAAAAAAACCTTCACCAGTGTCACAGACATATTAACCAACATTTGCTAAGTTTTGTAATCTATGAATGAGAAAATTCTGTAACGGTAACATCTCTTTGCCACCAACAAGTGACATGCAGAGGCCAGAGGAACTTGCCTGGGGGAAGAGGGCAAGACTATGAGTCACCAGATGGAATAGGAACATGGTGGTTTTAGAACATGTCCATAAACACTTTGAGACTCTTCCCAACAAAACCTGGAGTCTAATTCCCTTCCCCTTAAGTATGGGGCAACTTGAGTGATTTGCTTCTAAGTGGTAGAAGGCAGTAGAAAAGGTGCTGCATGACTCCAAGGCTAGGTCATAAAAGGGTGTGCATGGGCACATTTGCCCTTGGAATCCAGCCACCAAGCTGTGAAGAAACCCAGGTCACCTTGGAAGGCTGTCAGCAGGTGTTCTGGCCAGCAGCCCCTGCTGAGTTTCCAGCGACAGGCAGCATCCACCATCACACATGGGAATAGGAAAGCCTTTGAGATGACCCCAGCCTCAGCCATCATTTAACGGCAACTGCACGAGAGACCCTGAGTAAGGACCACTTCACTGATCCCAGTAACCCGCAAAACTAGAAGAGATAACAATAAAAGGTGTTTGTTCATATTTTATGCTACAAAGTTTGAGTTGATTTGTTACACAGCAACATATAAGCAGGGTGAAGAATGTGCTGACTGGTCTACTTTTCAGCAAGCCAATGTAACAAGGGGACAGGACACTGAATTGGCAGTAAGGAATGTACTGTGCTTTGCTCCCGCCTCAGTCAAAGCTGACTATGTGCTTAGGACAAGTAACTCTGCCTCTTCTCGGCCTCATTTCCCTCAAGTGCAACACAAGGATTCACTGTCTCAGCTTGGATATCCACATTCCTCACAGCAGAAGGCAGAAGGAGCTGACTTTTAGGGCTATAGAATTTTAGATCATATACTACAAGACTTCCTGAGGTATTTTCCAACCTTGAGAAATTAACAGATATTATTTCATCATTGAGTTCATTTTTAACACATAAACGTGAGATGTGTTGGATTGAACTATTAGGCAGGTTTCTTTACTGCAGGACTTCTCGTGGTCTTCAATGTGTTCAGGTGCTCTGTGGCTCTCTAAGAAAGGGAAATGGGAAGAAGCACTCCTCAAACCTCCTTCACTATGTAACCTTTTTTCTTTGTTGAGCTTTTCATGGGACTAGGATTCTGCTTAATGTACTCTGAGATTGCTTTCAATTATTCATAGTAAAATAATCAAAACCAATATTTATCTCCCTAGAACTGTCCATAAATTATGAAACGGCTGTGGGGTTCGGTACAAGTGGGCATTTGTATCTCCCAGTGCCTGTTTGTTTACTTTAGAGGCATGTCTCGTTGATTTCCTCTGAGAAATCCTAAGAGGAAGGACATTCCAAGGCCTCAGACCCTGGGGATATCTGAGGGATGCTGGAGAGGAACAAAGCTAGGCTGGAGGGAGCTGTGGCTCCCAGCCTTGGTTACTGCAGTTACCATATGCCAGACATTGTGCCAGGCACTGGGGAGATAAGGATGAACAAGGCAATGGCTTCCCTCAAGGGTCTCACAGGCCAGTGAGGCAAACAGACAAGTAAACAGACAGCATCTTAGTCAGCTTGAGCTGCTGTAACCAAATACCATCTCCTGGATGACTTAAACCACAGAAATTTATTCTTCACAGTTCTGGAGGCTGGAAGTCCAAGATCAAGGTGACAGCATGGTTGGGTTCTGGTGAGGGCTCTCTTCTTGGCTTGTTGACAGCCGCCTTCTCATCATGTTCTCACATTGCACAAAAAGAACCCAGGTGTGCCTTCCTTTTATAAAAACACTGATTCCATGGCATCCAAATCTAACTATCTCCCAAAGGCCCCATCTCCATATATATCACATTGGGAGTTAGGGCTCCAATTATGAATTTTGCAGGGGATACCATTCAGTCCATAGCAGGTGACATGTTAACAAATAAGCCCCAGCTACAGGGGGAGCCTGGGACTACACAGGGGGTGGCCCATTCCACCTGGCAGAGTCAAGTAAATCTTACAGGAGATAATTCTTGAGCTGAATCTTGAAACATCAGGAAGAGTTCTTATTGGTGTATAATTAATTACCAAAAACACAGCAGCTTAAAACAATGCATATTTATTATCTCATGGTTTCCATGGTTCAGGAGTCCAGGTGAGGCTTAGCCGTGTTCTCCACTCAGGGTCTCACAAGGTAGAAATTCAGGTGTCAGGCAGCTGTGGTTCTCATCTAGAGCTTGGGGACCTCTTCCAAACTCATTGGGATTCTTGGCAGAATTCTGTTGCATGTCACTGTAGGATTGAAGTCCCTACTTCCTTGCTGGCTGTTGATCAGAGACTCTCTCCACTCCTTGAGTCTACTCTCACATGGCTTCTCACAATATGGAAGCTTAAGTCTCCAAAGCCAGCAGGGCCACATCTTTCTGATGTGTCACCATCTATTAAAAGCTCTTCCAATTAAGTCAGGCCCACCCAGGATACTCTCCCTTTTGATTAACTCAAAGTCAGCTAAACAGTAAACCAATTATGATGACATTCCATCATATTAATTGATTTGGCCCATATTCAAGAGGGGGAGATTATATAAAGGCAAAAGTCATTGGGAGTCATCTTTGGATTCCGCTGACCTCAGCAGTGAAGGTTGGGGAGAACATTCGAGGCAGAGAAAGCAGGATGCACAAAGGAATGGCAGAAGGAAGCAACTCAGGACTTTTGGTGTCCTCAAGTGGTTCCATGTGAATGGAACATAAGGCAAGGACAGAAATGGAGATGCACAGGGTCATAGACAGACAGAAAGCGTATTGCATGGGAAACTCACCAGACTAGCCTAGGGAGCTTAGATTTTATTCTGTAGGTGAAGGAGATTCATTGAAGAATCATAACAAGGGGCCATGAGGATGAGAAATATGCTTTAGACAGAACATTCAGGAAGCATTAGTAGTGATGAATTGGAGTGGAATAAACCTGAAGGCTGGGAGGCCATTGTGCTTATCTAGGTTGCAAACAGGATCTCAATGCTCATTAATTTCTGCCCTGGCAGCACAGCTCTTTGGGAGTCACTGAGATCTAGCCTTACACGCAAATCCAGAACAAGGCTGCCATTATATCAAAATGCTCTGAGCTACTAATGAGGGAGGGTCTGGAGTTAATCCTGTTGCTAATAGCTTAGTATCTGGGGTATGTGAAATGAACCCAAAAGTTCAAGCCTTCCTCTGGTCACATCTCCTTTTGCCTTGTCTCCACGACTGTATGTAGCTCTGTGTTGAGTTCCAGATATGTGTTACAGGTACCCCAAAGGAGAGCTGTGCTGAGGAATCTACTGTGTAAACCGCAGCCTGAACTAGGCCAGGCCATTCTGCCATGAAGACAAGACCACCCTTTTCCACTTTCACTTTTGGACATGGTTCTGCTCTTCACAGAAGGAGCTCTGGATCCACGAATTCTGCCATTCACCCAACTCCAAACTCCCAGCACTGTTCAGAGAAGAACAGTGCCCAACAGAGCACACTCTCTCTCTTCCCTAGACCCATGCAAACAGTGCCAATGAGCCCGTCAATCTTTCCCACCAGTCATGGGTGCAACCTCAGGGTCCTCTTCTACATAGGACCCCAGACAGTCACTCTTATGCATTAGAGTTGGTCATCAAGATGAAAGCCATCCATCATTCACGGCTGGAGGGCCCCACCCCTTGGATGCCAATAACATCCAAGATGATGTCACTTTACCATGATCCTCTAGTTTAAATTGCTGGCATGCTTGAGGCTTCATCTGGCATCAGGCCCATGTACTCCTGGCTTTTCCCTTCTCTCTTCAACTTGGGTATTTTGAGGCCAAGAGGCCAAGACCACCTGAATCACAACAATTCCAAGATACAAATTATGGAGACAGTGCTTCTGGGAATTTTGAAATCTTTAACACCTCAAGCAAGGTTTTGGTCAGCTAATATGAAGGGACATCGACCTGGTTCCCCAAAAGCTTACTATCTAGTTGGAGAGATAGGATATGGTGCTGCGAAATGAACCTAAAATTTCAGCCATCAGAGGCAAAATGCTAAATAAGCAGAGGGTTGACAAATGCCAGAGAAATTCAAACCACACAGGGGTAGATATTTTTGGAAATAGCAAATAGGGCTCTGCTCCCGATTCATGACCCAGTCCCTGGCACTGGTCCTACAAGTGCCAGATGATGGGGAGGCAGAGCCAGGTGTTGTGCAATGAGCAGGCAGGAGGAGGGGGTGCCCCGCTGGCCCGGCTGGGCCCATGGAGCTTGGTGATGCCTCCTGGTGCTGGCTGAGGCCATGAGAGGAGGCAGAAGTGGGAGAGGAGAGCAGCAGGAGCCCTTATCACCAGGAACACACACGTGGGTCCCTTGTCATTTTCTGAACTTAAACTCATCTCTGCCCACAGAGCCCCCACAACCCGGGAGAAGCAGCAGGCAGAGGAGCCATGCGCAGGTGGAGGAGGCTGGTGCATGCTCTGTGAGATTTCTGTTGGTGACTTCACAGCTGACACACTCAGGATAGAAAAATGGAGAAAGACAAAAGGCTGAGTTAGTAAGAGCAGAGAGTCCCAGGTTCTCACACACTGGGCCCCAGCTGTGGACTATTCTAGGGCTTTGGAGGCCTAAGCACAGACATCATTCTCTTACCACTTTCTTATAACTGCTGATGGCCGTAGTGGGGCTGTGTGATGGGAGTGGGCTCAGGTTCTAGTGGACTCCAGGAGCCCTGAAGATTTACCACTGACCAGTCAGGGCAAAACCATTTTGGGGTGAAAGAGAAAGATGCCAACAGCACGCAGTGAAACACATTATACAGAATTCCACCTCCCCACCATATTTGTATATAGTGGTTAATCAGGCAAATCTGAGAAGGGGGAAAGAGGAGCTGGGGAAGAGGCACAGGTAACTGGAGGACATGCTTAGGAGAAGAAAGAGGCAATGCCACCTCTTCACCATGGGGATCCCTCTCCTTTCCTTCAAGAAAGTTCCATAGTGCCAGATTTGGAAAAGACTTAAGGAAAGTATAGAGGCTGGGCATGGTTCACACCTGTAATCCTAGCACCTTGGGAGGTGGGAGGATCATTTGAGGCCAGGAGTTTGAGACCAGCCTGGAAAACATGGCAAGACCAGACCATCTCTACCAAAAAAAAAAAAAGTTTAGAATATCCTCAGAAGGTGTAACTATGAAAAAAACAAGTGAGCAAGACACACCATACCTACCTACTGTAGAAACCTAGGCTTTTGTTCTCTCACTTCTTCCCAATAATCCCCCCCGACTTGTGGCCAGACATTGAGGGAGGTGTGTGGGGCACCATCTAAGGATCTCTCAAATCAGCCCCTTCTCCACCTCTATTGCCCCGCCCTAATCAGAGTCATGGCCATCTCTTGCCTGCACTCCTAAAATTGCCCCCTAACTCAACTCCCTGATTCTAATATTGTTCCATAAATAAATAACATAGATTTTATATTTCCCTTCTGGGGAATTGTTCAAAAGCAATCTGTTAGAAATGCAAAGCTGTTTGTCACTCTCCTGTTTAAATCCAAACTCCTGACCACAGGTTGCAAACCTCTGAATGACCTGAAAGACTCTGAATGACCTCCAAGTCTTCCTATTGATAAGGTTGCACACATGGCTCTCTTTTCATTTCCCTGGCGCAGTTTGTAATTCTGCATTTATTTCTGCTCATTGGCTGCCTCCCTACCCTACGGAAGGGGTCCCGAGGCCAGACCTGCTACATATTCTTCGAGGCACTCGTGGGAACTCCATCCTCACTCCAGCTACCCTGGTCTCCACTGGGCTCCTTTTTGCCTTTGGCATTTCTCACATGCTGATCCCATTGTCTGAAATGTTCCTTCCCCTTCTCCTGGCATAGCTGGCTCCTTCTCAGCCTCCAGGACTTGGTTTAGATGAACAAAGGTCTTCTCTGACTGCTTTATCAACTCTCTATTATTGACCTAAGATACCATCAACTGTAAGATGTCTCAGAAAGTAAAAGTACCACTCAGTAGCATCCCAGGCTGCATCTATTATAAGTTGCATCTTGGTTTCAGAAATAGCAAAATGTTTTTAAAAATGTACGCTGCCCAGAATTAAGGAAGTATGGCAAATAGGATTTTCCTGTTATTCTCCGTCATTGTCCCTTGTTCACTTCCATCACAACACTTCTCACAATTGTTAATGATATGTGTACTAATGTATGTATAATGCATATAAGATCTGGCTGTTAACTCAAAGGCCCATTGTCTGAGGAGGGTATCTGCCTTGTTCATGACTCTATAACCAGCAGCCACTGCAGTTCCTGGTTCAAAGCAAATGCCTCATGAGTGGCTGTTGACTACATGGATGCGTGGAAAGAGCAGTGGTCTGGAAAGTAAGACATGTGGACTTGAATCTGGCTCTGTCCTTAACCAACTGGGTGACCCTGAGCCAATCACTCTTCTTTCCTGGGTTCCACTTCATCGTCTACACAGTGAGAAGATGGAAACTGAACATGTCCAAGGCTTTCCCAGCTCTAACACTTCAGGAACTAAGTGATGGAATCTTTTCCAATTGTTTAGGGAAAGTGTCTCATTCCCATAAACGTGGAAGAATTTGCACACTTGCTGCCCCTTAGCCCAATTATCATGTTAGTTGATTTCTTAAAATTCAGAGAAACCAAATGCAGGCTGGCAGAGAAGGCTACATGCATGCTGCCTGGAGCTTGCTTGAGCTTTGCCCACCTCTGCTCTCCAGCAGCATCAATAATAAGTGAGGACCATTCAGCATTGCAGGCAGGTGCCTGCTCTTTGTTCTGTGAAACTGAGACAGGGCAGAGTTTCTGTAGAAAGATGCTCCTTAGCTCACCAAGGTATGATGGTGCTCTTACATGGTATCTTATTTCAAAAGCAGTCGATAATTAGTTAGTCCCTATAGCACGTGGGCTTTGCTGATAAGAAAAACTACATGTAGGGACTAGGATTCCAAGATGAACAGGAGTCAGTGCATGAGCCTAGAACAAGGTGTGCCAGATTGTTTCTATAAAGGGCCAGGTAATAAATATGTCCAGCTGTGCAAGTCATACAGTCGCTGCAGCAAACATTCAACTCTGCCATTGTAGCATGAAATAATATGTGACTGAAAAAGCGTGGCTGTGTTCCAATACAATTTTCTTGTCAAAAATGGGTGGTGGAGGTGGATTTGGCCTGTGGGCCCTAGTGTGCCAACCCCTGCTCTAGGACTGCATATTCAGAGTCCTTCAGGACTATGCGTTGACTTATTGGGCCACCCCATAGATTACCTGTAGCAAATGTGCACCGTGGCTTACCCAAGGTCACACCACTGGAAAACGAAGCTGGGAGCCAAATTCAGGTCCCCTCGTCCAGTGCATTTTCACTACAGGGTACAATGCTACCTCTTACTGTTCTCATAACATCATTGACAATCCCAGTAAACTTAATTCTTCCCAATCAATGGGGAAATGTGTATTCCTCAGGCACAGAGAAAAGGAAGAGGATTAATGAAAATAAGTCACTTTCTTCCCGTTTTCATAAGAAAATCTAGAAAAGAAAGATTTATCAGTCACCGCGAGCTACCCTGCTTCATAAAGTCAAGCCCACAGAGGCTCTAGGCAAGGCTGAGGGTCACTTTTTTGTTGTTTCCTGGATCAAACTGGACAGCAGCAAACTGGTATTTTATGGGAAAAGTCTCCCTGGTTCTTTTCTAAGTCTAGCTTTCCTGGCAGGGATGTATTTTACTACAATTAGCCAAACCATTGCTCTCATCAGAGCAGAGCAGGCCACACTGTGGCTTGTGTTTGGGGAACTAACTTTAGTTTGCCATGTGCTGTTTGTTTCTATCTGCTTGACCATAAATGTGCAAAGGTTTTAATCTAATTCCGCCCTCAGGGTTTCTACAATCTAGTTGGAGAGATAAGACATAAACATATGAGAGGGTGAAAAAAGTGAAAGAGTTGGAAAACATTTCAATGCAATAAGAAAAATGCACACACATCTATTCTCTCCCTCTCTCACCTCCAGTGAGCAAGGAGTAATTATTGAACACTGTATAGTATTAAGCTGCTTTGGGAATGAGAAACTCATTTTTTCTTGAACATAGCATAACCTGTCCTAATCTCTCTTTCTCCTAATGCCCATTCTATTACTATGCAGAACATTTCTTTCCCACTTACAGACAACGCCCAGAGGTTCAGAGGTGCCTAAAAATCAAGGGCCACTTCCCTACCTTGCCAGACAGAACCATCAATCCCTGTTGGACGCCTTTAGTTACCTAAAACACATAAAAGGATTGGAAATGAGGCCTTTCGTTGGTAATGAAATTCTAGCTTTTAGGTAAAGACAGTTTATTGGGCAGGGTATCCTCCCATACCCAAGACAGTCATTTCAAATCCTCCTAGACACAAAAAGGAGAAGGGACAAATTCTTGCTCTTACACACTGGATGTTTCATTTGTTTATTCAACAAAGTAGGTGTTGAGGGCTTTTTCTGTGGAAGTCACTGCATGTGTTTTTGTCTGAGATGAGCTTGGAAGACAGATGTTGCCAAGGACAGGGTAATAGTAAGAATACATGTACACAGTGCTCTCATAATTAAAATGAAAAATGAAATCTGTGAAGAGAGAAAATCAAGACTCCTTTGATTTTCACCTGACATTTAACATTTTTCAGTTAGCCATGGAAAAGGAATTACTAACCTTCCCCTAAGGAAGCAGCAGAGCAGAAATGGCCATGGATCCTATTGCTCCAGGTCATTTCCGTAGGGAATTGGACTGGCAGGTGTGTTCCGGTTCAGGGAGCAGCAGCTGCCAGGGATCTGCCCTGCTCCCCAGCCGCCCAACTTGGGAATACTCCTGCAGGCTCTCCACTGCCCACAGAAAGAGCCTCTCCTACAAAATGACCAGTGGGTGGATGGAAACGCCATAGGGGCTTCAGGAGATCGTCTGGTCCCATCCCTCTCTGAGCTGCTGCACAAGGTCAGGAGTTCCTGGAGCTGGGGCTGCTGTAAGGATCAGAGGGCGGGGGCCAGAGCCCAGGGCTAGCATTATAACTGCTGGAGAGTGCTGCTGCTCTGGCCCAGCCTGACCCCACTCCTTGCACCTGCACCTGCATCCTGGCTGCAGGAGGCTGTGCTCATTTCTAATTCTTCTCCTGGCTCTTTGGTGTGGGGTGTCCTTGGCTTCCTTCTCTGGCTCCCTGTCTGCCGCATTAACTTCCAGCTCTCCACAAACAGCTCTCCTGGCAACTCCAACTCCAGTTGCTTCTTTTCTAAATCTGGTAACTAGGGAACATGGAGGGAAGACTGCAGCGCCCACAACCCCCAGTCCCTTGGCCCCTTTCACCTGGGCCCCAGCTCGGCATTATTAGCAATCACTTTTCTGGGGCAAGACTGGGACTGAGCCTTCTGGCAACTCTATGTAAACAACTGTCACACTCAGGAGCAACCAGGAAAAACAGCTTTGATGACGTAAAAGTCAGGACCCCCAAAAGTGAATGCCACTGACTTAATCTGTTATTTTCAAAGCAGGTGAAATTACTCATTAGCATTCAAAATTCTTATAATTCAGATGTCTTATTTGTTAATAAACATGATATAATTGAACAGATATTATAGTGAAATTCCTAAATTTGGCTGGAATCACAATGTTTTTGCCATTACATCTCATGGCTCATATTTTATTGTATATCCTAACAAGCTGTTTAAACAGGGTGGCGCTATATTTGAAAAGTGACTTCTTTAGCCCAGAGATATAGAAAGGCACTGACTTAATGGGAGAGACCCTGGTTTTTTCTTCTGACTCTCCTTAATTTGTACTTGTCATTTCTAAGGGAGAGGATCTGCTAAGATGGTGCAGAAACATGGTCTGCATGCACCTGGTTATTCCTAGATTTGCACCATGGATTCAGGCTTCCCAGATGAATCAAACTGAATTTGATCAGGGTCTTGGCTCTTCCCCTGTCCTTGGCATAACAACCAGCAAATACGTGTCAGCTCCCACCTTCCTCGTTACCTCCCATTCTCATATTTCTGATAGATGTCCAATCTTTTCTCTGGTTTGCTTCTGGATTTTATCAACCTGTGTTCCTGAGTAAGAATTAGTCTTGGAATTCACTCTGGACTGTGATCCTTCCCAATTTTGATATATTCTCATGAAATGAATTCAAATAATGCAAAAAAGTACTTAGAAAAAAGGTACTCCTCAGGTAGGAGGTACCTGACCTCCTACCACCCGGAGAAAAACACTATTAACTTTTGGGTAAACATTCTTTCAGGCATCTGCCTAAATGTATTATATCTATTTACAGCCTGCTTTCTTCTCTCAACCATATGTTCTTGTTGGGAGAGAGAGTTCTCTATGGGTCTCTTGTGCTTGTACACATTTTGCTGAGTATGCTAAGATTACAAGGTCATTTCTCGGGGTTATGTTTGCAGTGGGCAACTTTGAGGGACGAGGCAACGTCTCCCTCCTGGACAAAGGGCAAGTTTGCTTACCACTTGCAATAAAATGGTGAGTTCCCAAGCTCATGGCACAAAAAGCATGTTTATATCCCTTTCCAGAGAATGTGATACAAACCCACCTGTACACAGCATTCATCTGGGTTGGTAGCATTGCCCCCATGTTAGCTGATGCAAACATACTGATAATTATTCTGCTCCAGTGCCATAGTTTTTAAAAAGTCCCTTGTCTCTGATCCAGGAGTTTCATGTCTTCTGCCAATATCCACGAAACAGTAACAGACTAATTATTAGCTTTAGTTAAGGTAAAATCAACAGACCCAATACTCATCTATGTCTTTCCACTTTAAATATAGATCTAATTATTTTTCATGTGGCTGCATGGTATCACATTGTGAGTGTGTGTGTGTATATGTGTGTGTGTTTGTATCACAGTATATTTAATTAATCCTCTATTTTTGGGCATTAGGTTTCTACCAGTTTTTTCTTCCTTTTTTTCTTTTGTATTTCATACAATGTTGCAATAAATATTATTGTACAAATATCCCTTTATACCTACACAATTTTCTCTTTATGGTGAACTTCTAGAAATAGAATTGCTGGGTCAAAGAATATGCCCATTTCTATACAGTACTTCAGTTAGAAACTATGGTGGCATATTTTCCTAACGGCATCTAAAAGGAATCTGTCCTTGGTACAACACAAGTACCATAACTCTTTGATCTTTCCTTTTGGTTACTAGTCACACTGTTATGCCTGAATTTTGAACTGATCTACTCCTTCATTAATATCCCAAATTTAGGTAACAGTCTGTAGAGTGTGCCAGTTAGTACAGCCTGTTACCTATATTTGGGATATGAATATATTATCCAAGGAGTAGAACAGTGTAGTTAGTTATATATGGAGGAAGTGAGGCCCAAAAGTGAAATCACTTGACCAAGATAACACACAATACCAACACTGAGCCAGAGGTTTGATTCATTCCCATGCATAGTCCATTGGTTCATGGTATACACAGAAGAATAATAGCCTATGATATTTGCTGTTTCTTTGAGTGGCAAACATATACTATTAGTATTATTGTTATCATGGTCATGTTTCTGAACACTAAAACTTAAGTTATAAGTATTCTTATTAAAATCAAGATAAAGACAATTTCTATTTTTCAGAGTAATAAAATGTAAGTGGCTGGGCATGGTGGCTCATGCCTGTAATCCCAACATTTTGGGAGGCTGGGGTATGTGGATCACCTGAGGTCAGGAGTTTGTGACCAGCCTGGCCAATGTGATGGAACCCCATCTCTACTAAAAATACAAAAATTAGCTAGGCATGGTGGCGGGCACCTGTAATCCCATCTACTTGAGAGGCTGAGGCGAGGGAATCGCTTGAACCCAGGAGGCAGAGGTTGCAGTGAGCCAAGGTCACGCCATTGCACTCCAGCCTGGGTGACAACAGTGAAACTCCATCTCAAAAAAAAATTAAAGTAAAACTGTTTGCCAAGTTACATATATATGTGTATGTGTGTGTGTGTGTGTGTGTAAGAGAGAGAGAGTGTGTGTGTGTGTGTGTGTGTGTGTGTGTGTGTGTATTTAAAAGTTGGCTGGGCACAGTGGCTCAAGCCTGTAATCCCAGCACTTTGGGAGACCAAGGCTGGAGGATCACTTGAGGCCAGGAGTTCGAGACCAGCCTGGCCAACATGGTGAAACCCCCATCTCAATTAAAAATACAAAAATTAGCCAGATGTGGTGGTGTGTGCCTGTAATTCCAGCTACTCAGGTGGCTGAGACATGAGAATCACTTGAGCCTGGGAGGCAGAAGTTGCAGTGAGCAGAGATCATGCCACTGCACTCCAGCCTGGGTGATAAACTGAGACTGCCTCAAAAAAAAAAAAAAAAAAAGCATTTTAACAAACTCGTTGACCCAGAAACTCCAATTTTAGGAATATATTCAATAGAAAAAAATTAAAAAGTACAAAAATATATACAGCTAGAGCTATTCACATAACACTGTATGAGTGGAAACAACCAATAGGGGACTGGTTCAATAAATTATGGTGTATTAATACAACTGAATTTTATGAAAAAGAATGAGGTGTGTCTTCATATGCTGATATAGAATGATTTTCAAGTGCATTGTTAAGTTAATTTTGCTGTCATGTAAATAAAAACGGGAACATAAGTATATAGATTATTTATAGAAGAATAATGAAAAGCTGATGATAATGTTTATTTCTGGGGGAGGAGAACAGGAAAAAGATTTAGTCTTTGTATTTGATTTTTCAAAATATCACGTACTGTCATGCATTTGTTTCCATTTTTAAAAGCAGTAATGTTATAGGTAGAGAGGTAGTGCTTCAAAGCAATGCTTACTAGCCCGGGTCCAGGTCAGAATTTCTGAAGGGGCCTTGGCATCATTAAGCTCCTCCCCTCTGGACTGGATGCAGGTGGCCCACAGAGGGGTGTTTGTTATTGCCGCTTTACAGCAACTTAGGTACATGAACAAATCCCTGTCATATACACTGGAGCTTTTCCCATTCACTTTTCACTTATCATTTGTCAGCCAATTTCAGCCCTACCTGTACCCACAGATGTTGCTTCTCCTGTTACAGAGCGCCTGCATTCCCGGGTCTGCACCCACCACCTGGTGTCTTCTGTCTGGGAGCCTTTGTGTTGCTTACTCCTGCTGCCAGTGGCTCATATCCTCCCATCCTCTGCTTTTCTGATCTCCTGAGGTGGACCTGTGCCCATGGCTAAAGACAGACACCCCTCCGCTTCCAGGTTTCTTTTCTTGTCCACATTCTGGAAAGAAGAACTATTCACTTTATAGAGTACTTTCATCTCCAGCCCAGCTAGAATCTTTCCCATTTCTAAACCAGAGGGAGGCAACTATCTTTTTCACTCCTCCGTCTTCCTGTCAAGTACTGGCATATTTAGCAAGATGTAGGTAGAATTTATTGAGATAAATTTTCATATGTATTTCCTGGGTATGTTGCTCTAACCCCTCTTAGTCACCCAAGCCTTATAAAAAGTGTCTCCATAAAAGAGTCTTTCAGCAACTGTCCACCAAAGAGAAGTGATGTCCACCAAACTGAATAGTACATTGTGATGATAATAAACATGGTTCTCTAAAAGCGCTTACCTGGTTTTTTTGATGCACAAACTCCAGCTGTCTCTTTGCACTCTTTTTCTGCTGTGACCATGTAAACCTAAAGTAACAATAGAGAGACTCTCCAAAGACAATGAATTTATGCAGGAGTGGGCATTGCAATGCAGAAGGCATGTGCCTTGGTACCCTATGGGCATATTCAGAAAGGCAAGGATTTTAAAGGTAAAATGAGGAAGGTTACAGAAGTTGTTTTGAAACAATTATCCTTGCCTATTCACATCAATAACAAGGGTAACATTAGTTCCAGGTTGGACAGGCAGTTGCTATGCAGATGTCCTCCCAAAAATATTTTTTGTGTGAAGATGCAATGGCCTTTGTGCAAGGTTGTGGTTTTGGCAGTCTTTTGTGATAGCTTATTATCAGGCAACCTCGTGTGAGAACCCTGCTTCATGGCCTTCCCTAACTCCATTTTGTCAGAGTTCAACACAAGTGACTCCATTTTGATTCAGACAACTTTCACAACCATATTAATTTTTACCACACAGTCCTCAAGATGGTATCTCTTCCTTTGTCCTCCATTATCCCATATCATTAACCCCCTTTCCTTGAAATATGTTCCTCATTTTAAGCAAACTAGGTATTTTAAAGGCAATATTTAGAAACAAGGGAAAAGAAAAGAGCTAAGAACTGTTCGTTATAAAAAGATTCTTCTCTTTATATATTATTTCATCATGGCATTCTTTAAAAGCATGCCAGAGTCACAATTTTGATGTGGTTTAATGTACGATAGCTCTCTGTTATATAAGCCTGTCACTTCACTGATGTTACGTTCTTACTATATAGGAAGGAAAAGTACATACAAAATTCAGTTCAGACTTGGAAATTAAGTCAGCATTAATATACTTAAGTTACAGCACAGCCATTACTTGCTATATGGGTAAAGAACCATGCCATCTGGCTGGGCACAGTGGCCCATGCCTGTAATCCCAGCACTTTGGGAGGCCGAGGCAGGTGGATCACTTTAGGTCAGGAGTTCAAGACCAGCCTGGCCAACATGGTGAAACCCTGTCTCCATAAAAAATACAAAAATTAGCTGGGCATGCTGGCATGGGCCTGTAATCCCAGCTACTCAGGAGGCTGAGGCAGGAGAATGACTTGAACCCAGGAGGTGGAGGTTGCATTGAGCTGAGATTGTGCCACTGTACTCCAGCCTGAGGGACAGAGTGAGTGAGATTCCATCTCAAAAAAAAAAAAAAAAAAAAGGGGGAGCCATGTGATCTAATCTCAGCTCTCTTCTTGTTTTCTATTTCTTTTCTTATCTCTCTTTTCTGAAGGTGGTTTGTCACTCATTTCTCTGTTTTTTTTTTAAATAAAGGTATAATTTACATATAGCATAAGGCACAACTCTTAAATGCACAGCTTTACAAATATATGTATAAATATCTATATTGACCTATGTAATCACCCACTCAGATCAAGATACAGGACATTTTTAGTAGCCCGGAAAGCTGCTTGTCAGTCTTCACCTCCAAGAAGTGACTGCTCTTCTGATTTCTATCACTGAAGATTTTAGCTTGTTTTTGAGCTTCACATAAATAGAGGCGTACGATACATAGTCTTTGGTGTTGTTTGCTCGATGTTAGGTCTGTGAGATTTCTCCGCATTATCGTGTGCAGCAGTAGTTCATTCTGTATTTTGCTGTGCTGTATTTCCTTGAATAAATACATCAAAATTTATTTATGCATATTGCTATGGATGGATAATTGGGTTGTTTCCAGTTTGGGGCTATTGCAAATAAAATTTCTATGAGCGTTTTTGTAACTTGTCTTTTTGTGGACATATACACTCATTTTTGTTGAATAAAGACACGATAAATTCTGCTATTGGGTTGTAGGGTAGGTGTACATTTAGCTTTAGAGATAACATGCAACAGTTTTTCTAGCTGACCATCCCTATTTACATTTCCAGAGACGATGTATGAGAGTTCCAGTTCCTCGACATTTTTGTCAATTTTCATCTGTTCTTTTAATTTTAGCCAATTTGGTGGGAGATTCCCAGTTCCTTTTAAACTCAGACAATTAACTCAGTCTCTGCATTTCCTCATCTGTCACATGGGATTGCTCACCATTCTCAAGTTTATTGGGAGTTTCACTTGGGAGAATAAATATGGAAGTATCTTTAAAAGCTAGAAGCCATACAAATGTCAGGTATCATATTAAGAAAAGAGAAATAAGTGATTGGCACATAGAACACAGGCATTTTGCATCTTAGTCTGAGCCAGAGAGTCCCTAAAAGATCTCTTCCAATACCATTATTTTGTTTATGAAGCAGTAAAGTGAGGCTCAGGGAGAGGAATTGCCTTATCTGAGGCCAGGTGGCTGACCAATGGCAGAGGCAAAATTAGAGCCCAGGTCTCCTGAGTCCCAGCCTAACCTTTGCTCCTGTCTATGCTGCCTTCCAAAAAGCCCAAAGATGTTATTGGATTTTCCCAAGGGCTATCTTGAGTACAGTAGCAATTATGTTACTAAGGTTGTTGTAGAAGGCAGTCCAGACCTTCTTTCTGATATTCATCCAGCCATGTATTGTACATTTACTATAAGGTGATACCTGCATTGAGTGATTGGGAATAAAGGGTCATGAAAATGCTGTGTCTTCTTTGAACTCCTACTCCAGTGGAGGTAAGAGCTGGATGGGTTCTGAGAGGCATGGTATGGCTTTCTTCCATTTTATTCCTTTTTATGGTGACAGTATTGACTGCCCTCAATTTCTTCAAATCAAAAAGTAGTTAAGAAGACCAAGGATAATTCCATCACCTGAATATGTGTCCACCCAACCTCTGGCTAGCTCCCACAATGGCTGCTGCTTGGCCTGTTGATATAGCACTGTCTCTGCAGACACTCTGGTGTGTGTGCTAGGTCAACATCTTCCTTTCTGTCCCATTTCCTTCATCCTTGGAGTATAGGGGTCTGTGTGTGTGGATATTTAGAGGAAAAGGCTGCTTTCCACAAGACCATTCTGTACTATGGAAATCCTGACTTCTAAGGCTTCCACCCACTGTGGGAGGGGTGGTTTTGGTATGTGTGAGTACCATCCCAAGCTCCACCACCCTCTAATGCAACCTGTGGGTACCTTGCAGGACTTTAGGCACAACTATCAATTTGTCTGTGTTGCATCCCATTCTTCCCAAAATCTGTTTCCATTCCAAGGTGTCCCTTGTCTGTAGCTGGTGCCTTTCCTCTGCCCGTACCTGCTGAGAGTAAAGGATTAGTCACTGACACTTTAGCATGAATTTAAAAAGCCTCTTTTTCAAAGAACCTTTATTTTTCAGTGTTGAAGGAAGCACCATGTCCCTTGAAAAGGAAATGTAGGGCCAATCATCTCTCTCTAGAGACAGAGAGAGCGAGAGAGAGAGAGAGTGTGTGTGTGTGTATGTGTGTTTGGGGAGGTAGGGTTGTGGAGTGAGTCAATTTTTATATATCTTCCCCAAGTCATTCCTGTCAAAAAAGTACAGTTTGGGAACAGAACAGAGAACTTTCCTGTCCCCTCCATATTCTGAGAATATATACAAGTGAGTATTTTAGACTAGAACACATAGATTATGGGTGTGGATCCCTTTATTTCAGAGTGCCTTTACTTGTTATCTCATCTGATCATGTGCAGTTAGAAGGTAGACAGGGTAAGCGTTGTTGCCACTATGATGATGAAACTGAGACCTAAAGGATTTAAGCTAGAGTAAGAGCTAGTCAATGACACAGTTGGGAACAAAATCCAAGTTTATTGAATCCATGCTGTGCAGTGAAGTTATCTCAGGCCTGAGCTGCTAAACCAAACACATTACAAGAATGGCCTGTGTTGTGGGGGACTGGCCCTTGACAGACCCCTGGAAGAGAACCTCTCAGCCCTTGGAATATCGTGCCTGCTAAGAGTGTTTTTGTGGGCTTGAGGCTGAGCAGCTGCAGTCCATCATGCAGGTGCCACATGCTAAAGCCCTTGACAGCAAGGCTCAGGTGAGCTCCCCTGCTGAACAGTGCTTTGCACATGTTGTCCCCCATCATTGCTGGGAGAATTAAGCATATCTCCATGGAACTCCACTGCAAGGGGACACCTGAAAGTTTGCACCTGATTTTCCCTGGACATTGCCCACACACTTTATCCCTTTCCTGATTACTATCAGTATCCTTCCACTATAATAAACAAAATAATGAGTATAACAGCTTTTCTGAGTTCTATTAGTCTAACAAACCATTGTGCCTACAGGTTGTCTTGGTGACTCCTGACACAAGTGCCTGACATTTCCCTTTAGACTGTACCTCTCTTAGCCCCATGATATCAGTCTATAATTCTGTCAAGTCCACCGGCTATGGTTTGAATGTTTGTGTCCCCTCCAAAATTTGAATATTGGAACTTCAACCCCAAGGTGATGGTATTAATTGGTGAGGCCTCTTGGGAGGTGATTAAGTCATCAGGGTCCCATCCTCATGAATGGGCTAGCACTCTTTGATGGAAGAGGTTGAAAGGAGAGCCCTAGTTCCCCTTTGCCCTCCCACCTTCCACCATGTGAGGACACAACATTCATTCCCTCTGGAGGACACAGAAATGAGGCACCATCTTAGAAGCAGAGACCAGGCCCTCCCTGGACACGGAAGCTGCTGGTGCCTGATCTTGGACTTCACAGCTTCCAGAGCTGTGAGAAATAAAGTTCTGTTCCTTAAAATTACCTAGTCTCAAGTATTTTGTTATAGCAGCATGAATGATTTAAGACAACAGGCTACCATTTGAAGAAGGCATTCATCAGGCCGGTTAATGTATGAACTAAACTTTATTTACTCTCTCAAGATCTCTCTGTGATGAGTGCGCTCCCATGGAAGAAGTGTGCTGCCTGGAACATCTGGCTGAACCTGATGCTTGCACCTTCCCTGAAGCCATAAATCTTAGGTATGGACACACTAGTCTGTCACATGAACACATCTGGAGGTTTCTTGAAGATTCTGAGATTTGGAGAGGGAGAATATGTGAGGCTAAAGTTTAAAGACATCAATTTTCAGGGAAATCAGATTCCAAAGTATTACCAATTTAAACATTCAATGTCATAATCAAATAGCCCACCAGAGAATGTGGCCAGTGAATGTCTGGGTTGAATACAGAATTTTGTAAAATATGTGGTTTGGGGGATAATTTTTTTTTAAGTTAGTGAAATTTTTCTTTGGACAGAAAGAAGATTTAAGGCAATGAAGGAGTAAAAAAAATTAAAATGGGACAGGAAGGGTTAAAAAAGATGTAACCCCCAAAAACATTAAAAGATCCTCAAATAGACTCAAGTGCGAGTTTTAGTAAATGACAAAGTTGGCATTTCCAACCATGGGAGAGGATTAATTACTCAGGCAATGGTATCAGGACATGTGGTTTTATATTGAGGAAAACATAAAGGTTAGAGTTAGAAAAAAAAGAGTTTTTTTTTCTTATTTGACACATTGAGTAAAAAATCTAAATGGATTAAAGAGTTAAATGATAAAAATGGAACCATAAGAGAGTTGGGAAAAAAATTGTTTCATTTGGAGTATGGAAGATCTTTCAAAGGATAAAAATAAAAGAAGCAGCATACAGAAAAAAGACGAAGAGATTTACTAGATAAAACTGAAAGGCTCTGTATACCAAGTCTTACAAATAAAATTAAAAGGTTAATGAAGCACTGGAAAAATATTTGTACTGTATAAGACATGCAAGAAAGGTTGAGTCTCAATACAGGAAGAGAACTTAATAAAAAATAGATGAATGTCAATTAGAAATAGAAATATAGGCAAAGGACATAAACGGGCAATTCACAAACAAAGAAGACAAAAGGTAAATACATAGGAAAGAGATTCAACCTCAAGAATAGCAAAACAAAAAACATACAATCAAAAGGATAACACGCTATTTTTTACCATGAAACTGGCCTTATCAGTTGCAGTACAACCAGGAAACAGGAACAATTTCACATATTTACCAAGACAGGATTTTAATTCAGGGTCTTGGTTACACAGGTGATGGAAAAAGCCAAGAGTGTAAACAGAGGACCATGAAGTAACTTAGAGAAAATTAGCAATGACAGGAAAAGATGATCACCTTTAGGCTGAAAGGACAGGAAGAGGAGGTGGTGTTGCCAGAGCCAGGGGCTGGGGACACTCCTCACTCCACACTCCAGGGAACGCAGCAACTACCAGATATGTCTTCTCCAGTAGAGAGGGAGGGAGAGAAATACCTTGGCTTCCCTCTTCCTTTTACTTTCCAATGTCCCATTGATACTGCCCATTGGCCACACCTAGGTGGATAAAGCTGGATAAATGCAGCCTGCTGTGGTCACCTCTCGTCTTTAATACATAGCAGAGAAAGCAAAGGGTGAGAAAGAGGTCTGAGGACAAACTGGCCAGGACCACACACTGATAGAGGCTAAAGCCATGACAATGTTTGCAAGGATGCAATGAAATGCTACTTTTATACAAGGCTGCTGCTGTACCAATTTACAATTTACAACTCTCCAGGAGAAGAAACTTGGTAATGTCTGTTAAAGCTTTAAGAAGATGCCCTTTGACCTAGCAATTGCAGTTCTAAGAATTTACCCAAAGAAATATTAGTGATAGAGGAAAAGCAGCATGCAGCTTAAGCCAAGGTCCCCTCATCCTCAGCCCCTCCTTCTGCAATTGCTTGGCTCTGACCCCATGTCAACCTGGATGTAACTCCGTAGCGCTTCAAGTTCCCCCAAATACTCTACTTGAAACACAAGTCAATGAACAATGTAGACCAAACTTGTCCAACCCATGGCCTGTGGGCCGCTTGAAGCCCAGGACAACTTTGAATGCGGCCCAACACAAATTCATAAATTTTCTTAAGACATTGTGAGATTTTTTTGTGATTTTTTATATCTTTTTAGTTCGTCAGCTGTTGTTAGTGTATTCTATGTGTGGCTCAAGACAATTCTTCTTCTTCCAATGTGGCCCAGGGAAGCCAAAAGATTGGACACCCCCAAGACTTTACTGAAGATTTTGTAGAGGAGATAAAAGAGGGAGTTTACAGCACATTAATAGCAAATTATGAGTCTTCATCCGATGTTTCTGTTACCCCAAATCCCTTTTGTGCCCCACCACCCCTGTGCTTCTCTTTCAGAGCATGCAGTCCTGGTTCCTGCTCACTCTTCTCTGCGCTTTCATCCTTTTGTTTTGCTGCCTGTTCTCACTCCTACCTCCAGCCATTCACACCCAAATCCATCCTGGAATTCAGAAAAATACAGAACTCTCCTGCTATCAGATGTCACTCTCCATAGAAGGAAACAGAGGCTTAAATTACAAATTCTTTCTTCTGTCATGTGTACAAGGATATCCCTCACACCATTATTTATAATAAAAGGTTTAAAATCTACATGTTCAAGAGTAGGGGATTGGTGACTCCCTTTTGAGGAAATACAATGTAGTTATAAAACATCACCCTGCAGAAAATGAGCTGACATAAAAAAAAATTTCAAATATTAAAACCAGATTGGGTTTATTTTATTTAAACAAGTAAAAAACAAATAAAATGATACTCTCAGAACAAAAGCCTTGTTGGTGGCTGAATACAGAAAGCAGGAAAGATCTCAGCTGGATTTTAGTTGTAATCCACGTGTAAAGGCCAGAGAAGATGGGAAGCAGTTCCATATTGGCCCCAGCTGGTAGTAGTTGATGGGCGTGGTGTTGGTAATTTTTTCTGTCAACAGCCACATAGTAAATATTGTCAGATTTGTGGCCCATTTGGTTTCTGTTGCAATGGCTCAATTCTGCTGCTTAGCACCAAAGCCCCCACAGACAATACACAGATGAATGAGCATGACTGTGTTCCCATAAAACTTTACTTAAAGACCCTGAAATTTGAATTTCATAATCTTTTCATGGGTCATGAAATATTCTGTTTTTTTCCAACCATTTAAACATGTGAAAACCAGCCAGGCATGGTGGCATGTACCTGTAGTCCCAGCTACTCAGGAGGCTGAGTTGGGAGGATCACATGAGCCCAGGAGTCTGAGGTTACAGGGAACTATGATTGTATCATTGTACTTCAGCCTGGGCAACAGAGAAAGACTCTGTCGCTTAAAAAGAAAAAGAAAAAAATTAAAATAATTTAAAAATGTGAAAACTATTCTTACTTTGGGAGCCAAAAAAAAAGAAGAGGCCACAGGCCAAATCATGGGCCATGTTTTGCTGATCCCTGAATTAGGAAATCATGATTTTGATCCCATTGAGCCAAAGCACTTAGCAAAGTGTGAAACTATAGGGAGAAAAATACCTTTTCTCACTCAACACTTAGTTTAAGGCTGGGGCACCTATAACAAAAGAGAAATTAACAAGAGAAAAGCATACAAACTTATTTAATATTAAGTTTCACATGTTATGAAAGATTTCAGAAATACTGACCCAAAGAGACAGGGAAAACTGTGTATTTTTATGTTAAGTTTAATGAAGAAGTGGATAGGTATAGAGAAATAAGATTGGACAAAAGGGGTACAATCTCATGGTAACAAATGGGAAAATTTAGCAAAGCCTGTTTATTCAGATTCTTCTCTGTGTTCCTGTGTCTTCAAGAATGAGGATATTACTTTCCTCCAGGTTTAGGGAAGGAACCTTTGGAATGACAGTTTTATGACCTCCCTCAGGGGAGAAGGCTGAGGAGAAGGTGAAAGTAACCTTCCTGCTTCTGCTGTTTTCTCAAATGCCAAAGTGCCATATTTTGGGGTAGCATGTCCTGAATCCTATGAAAACAAAAACAGGAAAAACAAATCTCCAGTGAATGGGTCTTTTTGTGTTTTCTAAGTGCAGTAGACAGAATGGCCTTAAAGATGTTTAAATATGTTACATTACATGTGTCAAATGGTCTCTCTTCAACTGAAATGACCAGAGCTAAAAGAAATGTGTGGCCATGAGGACACTGTAACCTATGAATGACATGCTGAGACCAGAAACCCAAAATCATGGTAACTGAGAGTGGTGCTAAGGCCCTCAGTTTTGGTCATACTCTCATCTAAGTAGGAACCTGACCAAAAAAGGGGAATTTTTAAAACAAAATTGTGGAAGGCCATTGTTTTGGACTGAGCTCGTGTATTAGGCCCCAACAGATCAAACCAAACCAAGACAGAGTCATTCATGCTAAATGTGACATAATCAACTAAGACTTTAATGAAATACATAGATCCTAGACCAGACCAGATTTTGTTATTCTCCTGTAAACAGGATGTTCCAGCACAAGGAGGTACCCTCTACAAAAGTCCTTGTTCCTACCTTTGCAAAACTGACTGTTCTACTCTTTCCCAGTGGGTTTCAAGACCAAATAAGTACATTTATGATGGTGATAGTGACATCAATGACTAAAGTTTTGGTTGGTCAAGCTCTCAAAATTGAGAAAGTGACCAAAAGGGGGGAATTGTTAAAGCAAACTAAATAGGGCCTGAGAAGGACTCCATACTTCAATATTTCAGTCCTTATGGGTGAACCACAACCTAACTTAATAGGTAGATAAGATTGAAAACCTAACTTAGGAGTATGCATCTGTAACAATAGCTGAATCTTAGTCAATCCAGCAGCCACACTTCAACCTCTCATAGACTGCTGAGTGTTCAAACTGTGTCCAAATAAGGCAAACACCGAGCTGTAACCAATCCAGTTGTTTCTGTACCTCACTTCTGATTTCTGTATGTCACTTCTTTTAGTTGTCTATAAACTTTTTCTGACCACGAGGCATTCCTGGAGTTTCTCCAAATCTGCAGTGATTCTGGGGGCTGCCCAATTCAGGAATCATTCATTGCTCAATTGAACTCCATAATTCCATAATTGTATTTGTGGTCTAGTTACTTAATTTTCCTGATCTCAGTTTTCTTATCTGTAAAAGGAGATAAGAATTTTCACCAACTGTGATGGCTAATATTGAGTGTCAACTTGATTGGATTGAAGGTTGCAAAGTGTTGTTCTTGGGTGTGTCTGTGAGGGAGTTGCCAAAGAAGATTAACATTTGAGTTAGGGGACTGGGAGAGGTAGACTCACCCTCAATCTGGGTGGGCACCATCTAATCAGCTGCCAGCATGGCTAGAATAAAGTGGCCAGAAGAACATGGAAGGACTAGACTCACTGAGTCTTCTGGCCTTCATCTTTCTCCCATGCTGGATGCTTCCTGCCCTCGAATATCACACTCCAAGTTCTTCAGATTGCGGACTGTTGGACTTACACCAGTGATCTGCCAGGGGCTCTCGGGCCTTCAGCCACAGACTGAAGGCTGCACTGTCTGCTTTCCTACTTTCGAGGTTTTTAGGACTCGGACTGGCTTCCTTGCTCCTCAGCTTGCAGATGGCCCATTGTGGGACTTCACCTTGTGATCGTGTGAGTCAATACCCCTTAATAAACTCCCCTTGATACACACATCTGTCCTATTAGCTCTGTCCATCTAGAGAACACTGACTAACCCACAAACTGAGCTGCCTGGCTCTTTTATTATTGTTAACAGTTAACAGTTAATTTGGCTTAATTTGCCTAGGTTGCAGGCAGGTATGGGAGGCCAGCTCATCACTGCTCCCACTTCAACTCAAACAGCAGTGCCAGAAAGTTCATTTGAAGACAAATTATCCTGCTGGGAAACAAACAGAATAACCACCACCTCTGAAACTCAGACCTAGGTGCCTCCTTTTCCCTGGCTCCTACATCCAGTTGTTCTCCCCATCTTCAGCAACTCTGTCTCCCAAACAGGCCTCCCTTCCCATAAAATCCCTGCCTTGGTCAAGCCTGAGTCATTTCTTTCCTGGACCACCACGGTGGTTTCTAACTATTCTCTTCCCTCAACCATGGAACCTGCCTGAGACTCAGTTTTCTCATCTATATATTTCAAATGCCACCCTCCTCAGGTTGCAGAATGAAATGATAATTATATTCTCTGTGAACCATAGAACACTGATAAAATACGGTATAACAAGAGTCAGTCAACAGAGACCCACTTGCCCTAGTTTAAATAGGAAATAATGAGGGTTTTATGGAACTCAAAGTCTGCCAGGATCTCATCTCGGCTCCTGTTCTCACTGCTCTCCCTTCCCTTTCTCTTTCCACCTCCTTTGCTCCCCAGTTCACAGGGCAGAACCTGGCCACATACAATGGATCCTGAGTTGTTTACTTCTCTTCCATCCTAACAGACCAGATGCTGTTATTAGATTATATATTTTAAAAGTCTGCTTAAACCCATTCAGTGCCATTGTGTGATTTCAAAGCTTAGTCCATTTTCTGCTGCTGTAACAGAACACAACAGAGTGGGTAATTTATATTTTAAAAAGTGTATTTGGTTCATGGATCTGGAGACTGGGAAGTCCAAGGGCATGGCAGCATCTTCTGGTAAGGGCTTTCATACTGTGTAATAACATGGTGGGAAAGCTGAAGGGCAAGTAGATGCATGTGGAAGAGACTGCAAGAGGGAGCCAAGCTTACTTTTATAACAACCTGCTCTCATGAAAACAAATTTACTCTTGAGAGAACAAACTCACTACTAAGATAATGACATTAATCTCTTCTTGGGGGCTCAGCCCTTATGACTCAATAACCTCTTTAAGGCCCTACTTCTTAATATTGTTCCATTGGCAATTATGTTTCCAATATATGAACTTTTGGGGGCACATTCAAACCATAGTGGAAGCTAATCCCAAACACCTTTCCCTGCACCCAGGGTCCTTTATGACTTAGCTCCTGTCTCTCATCTGCCTCAGCCTCCATTTTGCATCCTGCCTTCTGCTCACTGAAACTTCTTTTAGTCCCCAAACATCTCCAGTTCTGTGGTGTCTCTCCACTGTGGTAGCTTATGTTCCCTCCTTATGGAGTACCTGCATCTCACCTGTCTGCCTTGTACATTTTTATCCACCACTCAAGACTAAGCTGAAATGTTACCTGCTCTATTCTTACTCCTTTGGGCTCCTAAAGCACTGTGTATGTATAATAGTGCATAGATGTACCCACATATATATCAAAGTGTGTACATTCTAAATGTTAGTATGTGTACTCATTAGAACAATTTTTTAAAAGGTAAAATCATGACTCATACAGATGAGAAATGAAAATGTGTTAAGGATTTATCAATTAATGAATCAATGAGAGAACCAGATGTCATAATCATTTCAAAGGAGAAATTTTAAAAACACAGATTTATAGGAGTTAAGGAATGTTGAAATGAATATGCAAATGGAGGCAAAGGTAGCATTTTCCACAGCAGAGGAGAAAAGTCAGTTCAACTTCTACCAGTTAGGGAAGAATTTGCATGTCTAAAGGTAAGAATTATTTTTCATTGCTATCAGTTATCTATAATTTATCAAGAAGTAAAATAGCTTCCATAGAATCAGATAATCCCTGGGGTGTCCTTTAGAGTCCAAATAATACACAGTTTTCCACTTAAGCACATTTTTTTCCTACAGTACCCACCAAATGCTTAACAAACACTAGCAGCCTTTCTTAGAAGGTAGCTACTAGAACTGGGCCACAAAAAAGTCAGAGAATATCAGAGGGCAGGGTTGATTTCATATTCCCCTAGAGGAGTGCTGCCTTCGATTCTTCCTAAAAGCAGGATTGGTATCAGAGGTATGAGGGTTAGGAGGGTGGTTGGGGTTGCTGAGGAGATGAGGAGTTTTGTAAACACTCCTTTTGTACATGGCTGTAATAGATTTCCATTCATACCTATTTGGATTTAATGAAGCAAATTTAATGTCCTGTCAGGTTTGTTAAAATTAGGTTGTAACCCAATGCTTTGATTTTAATGTTTGTCCCCTCCAAAACTCATGTTGAAATTTGATTGCCAATGTAATGGTATGGGAGTTGGGGCCTTTAAGAGGTTATTAGGCCATGAGGATTCTGCCCTCACAGGTGGGTTTAATGCCTTAATAAAAGAACTTGCAGAAGCAGGCTCTCTGGGCTCTTCTGCACCCTTGCCATGTGAGGAACAGTGCTCCTCTCTGGAGGATGCAGCACTCAAGGCATCATCTTGGGCATAGACACAAGGCCCTTACCAGACACCAAACCTGCCAACACCTTGATATTGGACTTCCCAGCCTCCAGAACTGTAAGTCAATACATTTCTGTTCATTATAAATTACCCAGTCTGCAATATTCTGTTATAGCAGCACAAAAGAACTAAGACAACCAATAAATGAAAACTTAAAATGGGCAGAACATAAAAGCAATACAAATTTTTTGGAAAAGGGGGCCAGGAATAGCTATATTCTCCCTTTTATTGTGTCTCACAGTTTTACTTCCAGACACAAGTCTTCTTTGTGAAAGTGCCAACACCTCAGAGGTCTGAGACTTGCTATGAATCTTTTTTTAGTGCCCTTTAATAGTAAAAAAAAAAAAAAAAAAAGGTTCAATAATTTCCCTCAGACTGGCCTAAACGGAGCCTTCCCCTTGTGGCCGGTGGAGGCTCTTTCTCCTTCTCCAGAGCTGCATTTTAATGAGACCCCAAGGGAGGCTTTGGGATGCAGGGAGCCAGCACTTTAGTTTAATTTAAGTGTCTGGCTCTTTTTATTTTATTTTTCTTCTTTCTGTGTCTTGGGCAGCTCCACTAGCTCCAGCTGAGAAGTTTAACTCATTTAACACTTCCAGATGCTCCCTGTTCTGAAGCACCAATGCTTGTGGCTTGTTGAAAAGTCCTTAGGAGACTCAGGGACATGAGAATAATGTGTCCAGTGACCATAAGGCTGTCTTTAAAAGAAGAACATCCTGTCAGTGAGGAAAATTGCACCTTTGTCACTTGCTTTGCGTCAACTTCAAGGCCCGACTTAACTATTTCCTCAGCATTCATTTAGCACTATTTATTAAGCACCTGTTTTAGGTTCTAGAACTTCAAAGATGAGGAAGCACAGAACGTACTTCTAATGAGGCTGCTGTCTAGTATATGATAAACACCAAAACAGACTACTATAAACAGGCTGGAGGTGGCCAGAGGCACATGATTAGGAGAAAAGAGCAAGGAGCAGAACAGCCTAAGTGATACAATCCCATCTGAGTAACAAGAGTTATTTATACATATATATGGAGAGAAGATACATATGCTTACATATGAGCAGAACATTTCTGGAAGCATGCTGGATGACTGGTTATCTCTGAAGGCTTGGCTTTGGGGACTCTGGCATACAGGACAATTTTTAATTTCACTTTATATCCCTCTATATGTTCAAAAACCATTCTTTTTACAGTGAGCATACATTACTTATGGAATAAAACAACAGCAACCAGCATGGCAGTACCACCAAAGAGGTACATACAGTGAGTTATGGAAGCAATGAAACAAATCAGAAGATCCAAATTCAAGAATTTTCCTAATTATCTTAGATGGATCAATTTCTAGATTGTCATAGTTTTTGCTTACACATTTATGATATGTGACACTTATTCTCTACCACAGCCTGCCTTCCTGCCTTCTTTCCTTCCCTTCGTCCTTCCATGGATGTTTACTGAGATTCTACTATGCACAAGCTAGATGATTCAATATTGTATTTGTTATCAAGCTTGATGGCATGTGACAGAAAGAAAAAACTAAAATGGTGGCTTAAAGAATCTAATTTTATTTTTCTCACACATGACGTGGTCTAGAGGTAGGCACTCATCCCAGGACTTGTATGGCAGTTGCAGGGTGGTCAAGGACCCAGGCTTTATCTAGCTTGCTATTCTCCCATCCTTGGCATGGCCTCTCATGGTCTAAATTGGCTGCTCCAGATTCAGCTCCAGTATTCAAATTCCCACAAGCAGAAAGAAATAAAGAGGGGCTCCTGCCCTTCCTTTTAAGGAGACTTCCTAGAACTACCACACTACAATCTAATTAAATCTAATTGGCCAGAACTTAGCCATATGACCACATCTAGCTGCAAGGGAAGCTGGGATGGGCAGAGAAGCTGGGATATGTAGTATTTTAGCTGGGTGCATCACTGCCCTCAATAAATCTAGAATTCTTTTTTTTTTTTTTTTTGACACAAGATGTCACCCTGTTGACCAGGCAGTGGCATGATCATGGCTCACTGCAGCCTTGACCACCCAGACTCAGATGATTCTTTCACCTCAGCCTCCTGAGTAGCTGAAATTACAGGTGCATGCCACAATGCTCATCTAATTTTTTGTAGAGATGGGGTTTTGCCATGTTACCTAGGCTGGTCTTGAACACCTGGGCTCAAGTGATCTACCTGCCTCAGCCTCCCAAAGTCCTGGGATTACAGGCATGAGCCACCACACCCAGCCTAGGATTCTTTTTCTAAAGAAAAACTAGAAACTAGATATTGGGAGTTCATTAGCAATCAATGTCTGCTGCAAATGGGAACCAAAAAAGAAAGTTCCTGTCTTTATAGTGCTTATACTCTAGGAGAGAAATCTGCCATTAATCAAACAATCACAAAAATAATTTTAAAATTGCACACTATAGTAAGTGAGGTCAAGAAACACTTCACTGGGTCTTGGAAGTATATTATTAAAGGGCCTAATCTGTTGGGGGAACTCTTTTCTAAGGAAGCATGAAATGGGACTGAAAAAAAAAGTAGCCAGAGGTCAGCCATGCAGGGCCTTGTCTACCTTAAGGTTTTGATCTTTATTGTAGAACAAAGGCCAGTGATTAAAGGGTTTTGAACAGGTTATGAGGTAACTTTTTACCCTGCTATGATTATGTTTTGAAAATATTTTTCTGACAGCTTAGTGCAGAATGTGCTAAAGAGGAAAATTGGATGTGATGGGGGAGCCTACACACTGGCAGAAGGATAACCATTGATGTCCAGCCCATTTCAGAGTAGCCAGAGAAACTTAGTGCCAGCCCTTTGTGGAAACTGACAGTGGTCAGTGGTGGGGCTGCACAACATTGTGCTATATGTCTTGTTCTTTCCTACCCCACTGGGGGTTGAGAGTGGAGTACAACCGCAGGAGAGGAACATCCGTGTTGAGTCATGTGGAGCCATGTGTTACTCAACCCTTCTCCCCAGGGATAGTGCAGCCTGGTGAACATGGCTGTCTACCCAACCGACCTGCCACCTACCTTCCTCCCAATAACAGAATCTTGGTTTACTCAATTGCATGATGAAAACCCTTTGATCTCAGGGAGGTAGGCTTCCTCCAGCCTCACAGGATGACTTATGATTGGTCTAAAGCAGATATAGTAATCCCATACCTCTTTCCAGATATTTTCCCAGCCATCATCTAGCAAGAGATGAACTTGTGACTTACTGAGATTAAAGAGGGGTTTCTGGGAATGTTTTCTTCATAATAGGAGAAAGTGTTAGAGGATTGTTGTATGTGACCATGCTTTCTCCCTTTTCCTTGCTTGGGGCACTGAAATGAAAATATCATATTTGAAGCTGAGCAGCACCTTTCAGCTATGAGACTAAAAGCTCAAGGACCAAAATCCAACATCCTCATGGCAAATCAGAAAGATAGGATCTTTCTATCTAGGCTTTTGATGACATTGTAGAGCCACTGCACTCAGCTTGGAGCTACCTACCAACAGATTTCTTAGAATGCAAGGTGATTCCACATGTTCTCACTCATAGGTGGGAATAGAACAATGAGAACACATGGACACAGGAGGGGGAACATCACACACCGGGGCGTGTTGTGGGGTGGGGGGAGGGGGGAGGGATAGCATTAGGAGAAATACCTAATGTTAAATGACGAGTTAATGGGTGCAGCACACCAACATGTCACATGTATATATGTAACAAACCTGCACATTGTGCACATGTACCCTAAAACTTAAAGTATAATAATAAAAAAAAATGCAAGGTGATTATATGTATCTATTGCTTAAGTAAATGTTAATGTAGTATTCTTTTACTTGCAGCCATAGGCATCCTGACTAATACATTTGGTAAATATTGAATTGAACCAAATGAACCAACTTTATCTCAGCTGTGGTTAAACTTGAGTAACCTTGGGCAAATTATTTTACCTCTCAGATTTCGGTTTTTCCTCCTCAAAATTGGCTGGTAATGATAACCATCTTGTAAGGTATGTTCTGAGAAATAAACAAGGTAATACATATAAACACATTTAGTGATCTCTAAAGTACCATCCAAATGCAAGTATAAAAGATTAAAATACTGTTGTCTGTTATACTTCTTAAATGCACACAGATATTACTATTTTAGTAGCTAAAAACAGAGCCAATTTTCTTATTGGCATTCTTCTATTCAGTAAAGTAGGTAATATAAATTGTATGAATACACATTTCCCCCCCTCCCCGTTGAGATTCAATAAAGTCATTTTTAGTTTGCTTGGTGAAAAAATATAGTAACCATGTTAATCTTTCCTAAATTAGCTCTCAAACCAAGAAAAAAAGAGGGTTGCTTAGCACTGATGTATAAGAACTAAAATGTTCTTTGAAATCAGAAAGACTTAGATTTGAATGTTGATACTTCCGCTTCTAAGCTTTGTGACATTGGTATATTTAATTTCTGTATATTATATGAGGATGATAATGCCTACCTTATCATGTATAAAAATTCAAAGGAGATGATTAAGGATGGTCCAATACTACTCACAACTCTGGCCCTAACCATATCCCACTCAATTATTTACCACTTCTTAGCTAACCCCTCCATTGAAGGAAAAGTTGCTCATTCTTATCAGGGCCTTTGATTGATCAGGGCCCAGGATATCACTGGGCCATATTTTATTAGTGGATGAAGACACAACATACCACAAAATGATAATCGTTTTGCTCTTCTGCACCCATGAAAAGAAGATTCACTTCTACCTCTTCTTTTTCATGCATGTGGTAGGCAGAATTCTAAGATGGTCCCCAATGATCTCCTCCTGATACTCATGCCTACACATAATCTCATCCCCTTAAGTGTGGGCTGGACCTGGGGACTTTCTTTTTCTTTTTTTTAAGTGGCTTTATTGAGATATCATCCACATATGATTCATTCATTTAAAGTGTACAATTCAATGGTTTTATTCAAAAAAATCAATATTAAATAAAGTATACTCAAAGATATATGAAACCATCACCAACAACAATATCTGAACATTTTCATCACCTGAAAAGGAAACTGTGTACACTTTAATTATCAACTCCCTATTCCCCTATGCCTAAGCAAGCACTAATCTACTTTCTGTCTCTAAATATTTGCCTATTTGGACATTTTATAGAAATGGAATCATATAATATGTGGTCCTTTTGCGACTGGTTTCTTTCACTTAGCATAACGGTTTCAAAGTTCATCCATCTTGTGGCATGTAACAGTATTTCATTCCTTTTTATGACTGCACAATATTCCATTGTATGGATATATCACATTTAGTTTATCCATTCATCAGTTATGAACATTCGAGGTGTTTCCACCTTTTGGCTATTATGAATAATGCTGCTACAAACCTTCAAGTACAAGTTTTTGTGTAGACATGTTTTCATTTCTCTTGCATCCATACTTTGGAGTGGAATTGTTGGGTCATATGGCAACTCTATGCTCAATCATTTGAGGAACTTTCAGACTGTTTTCCAAGCGGTTGCAACATTTTACATTTCCTCCAGCAGTGTATGAGGGTCTTGAATTCTCCACATCCTCACCAACAAGTTATTTTCTTTTTTTAAAATTAAATTAGCAATGTTAGGGTGAAGTGGTATCTCCTTGTGGTTTTTATGGATGCTGAGCACTGTTTCATGTGCTTATTAGCCATTTGTATATCTTCTTTGGAGAAATTTCTATTCACGATTTTTACCCATTTTTAAATTGAACTATTTGTCCTTTTATTGTTGAGTTGTAAGAGTTCTGTGTATTCTGGATACAAGTCCCTTATCAGATATATGATCTATAAATATTTTCTTCCATTCCATAAGCTGTCTTTTTACTCTCTTGATAGTGTCTTTAGATGCACAAAAGTTTTCAATTTTGATAAAATCCAATCCATTTTTTTTTCATTGCTCATATGTTTGGTGTCAGATCTAAGACTCCATTGCCAAATCCATAGTCATGAAGATTTATCTCTGTGTTTTATTCCAATAATTGTATAGTTTTAGTTTTGACATTGTGATCTTGATCCATTTTGAGTTAATTATTTGTATATGTTATGCAGTAAGTGTCCAAATTAATTATTTTCCCTGTGACTATCCACTTGTTCCAGTGCCTTCATTGAAAAGACTATCTTTTCCCTGTTGAATGGTCTTGCACCCTTCTTGAAAATCAGATGACCATAAATACATGTGTTTATTTCTGGACTCTCAATTCTGTTCCATTGAGCTATATATCTATCTTTATGCCAATATCACACTGTCTTGGTTACTGTTACTTCAGAGTAACTTTCAAAATCTGGAAGTGTGGGTCCTCCTACTTTGTTCTTCTTTTTCAAGATTTTTTTGGCTTTTCTAGATTCCTTGCAATTCCATATGAATTTTAGAATCAGCTTATCAATTTCTACAAAGCAGTCAGCTAGGATCTGATAGAAATTACACTGAATCTGTAGATCGATTTAGAAAGTATTGTCATCTTAGCAATATCAAGGCTTCCAATCTAAGAAAATGAGATTTTTAAAATTTATTAAGATTTCCCTTTAATTTCTTGCAACAGTGTTTTGTAGTTTTCCAAGTTTTATTCTTCTTTTAAGTTTATTCCTAAGTGTTTTATTCTTTTTGATGCTATTGTAATAGGATTAATTTCATAATTTTATTTTTGATTTGTTTATTACAAGTATGTAGAAATACAATCTTTTTTTATATACTTTAAGTTCTAGGGTATGTGTGCACAATGTGCAGTTTTGATACATAGGTACACATGTGCCATGTTGGTTTGCTGCACCCATCAACTCATCATTTACATTAGTTATTTCTCCTAATGCTATCCCTCCCCCGACCCCACGACAGGCCCTGGTGTGTGATGTTCCCCACTCTGTGTCCAAGTGTTCTCATTGTTCAATTCCCACCTATGAGTGAGAACATGCAGTGTTTGGTTTTCTGTCCTTGTGATAGTTTGCTGAGAATGATGGTTGCCAGCTTCATCCATGTCCCTGCAAAGGAGATGCACTTATCCTTTTTTTGGCTGCATAATATTCCATGGTGTATATGTGCCACATTTTCTTAATCCAGTATATCACTGATGGACATTTGGGTTGGTTCTAAGTCTTTGCTATTGTGAATAGTGCCGCAATAAACATATGTGTGCATGTGTCTTTATAGTAGCATGATTTATAATCCTTTGGGTATATACCCAGGAATGGGATTGCTGGGTCAAATGGTATTTCTAGTTCTAGATCCTGGAGGAATCACCACACTGTTGTCCACAATGGTTGAACTAATTTACACTCACACCAACAGTGTAAAAGCTTTCCTATTTCTCCACATCCTCTCCAGCATCTGTTGTTTCCTGACTTTTTAATGATTGCCATTCTAACTGATGAGAGATAGTATCTCATTGTGGTTTTGATTTGCATTTCTCCGATGACCAGTGATGATGAGTATTTTTTCATGTGTCTGTTGGCTGCACAGATACCTTCTTTTGAGAAGTGTCTGTTCATATCCTTCACCCACTTTTTGATGGGGTCATTTGTTTTTTTTCTTGTAAATCTGTTTGAGTTCTTTGTAGATTCTGGATATTAGCCCTTTGTCAGATGAGTAGATTGCAAAAATTTTCTCCCATTCTGTAGGTTGCCTGTTCACTGTGATGGTAGTTTATTTTGTCATGCAGAAGCTCTTCAGTTTAATTAGATCCCATTTGTCAATTTTGGCTTTTGTTGCCATTGCTTTTGGTGTTTTAATCATGAAGTCCTTGCCCATGCCTATGTCCTGAATGGTATTGCCTAGGTTTTCTTCCAGGGTTTTTATGGTTTTAGGTCTAACATTTATGTCTTTAATCCATCTTGAATTGCTTTTTGTATAAGATGTAAGGAAGGGGTTCAGTTTCAGCTTTCTACATGTGGTTAGCCAGTTTTCCCAGCACCATTTATTAAATAGGGAATCCTTTCCCCATTTCTTGTTTTTGTCAGGTTAGTCAAAGATCAGATGGTTGTAGATGTGTGGTGCTATTTCTGAGGCTTCTGTTCTGTTCCATTGGTCTATATATCTGTTTTGGTACCAATACCATGTTGTTTTTGCTTACTGTAGCCTTGTAGTATAATTTGAAGTCAGGTAACATGATGCCTCCAGCTTTGTTCTTTTTGCTTAGGATTGTGCTGGCAATGTGGGCTCTTTTTTGGTTCCATATGAACTTTAAAGTAGTTTTTTCCAATTCTGTGAAGAAAGTCATTGGTAGCTTGATGGGGATGGCATTTAATCTATAAATTACTTTGGACAGTATGGTCATTTTCATGATATTGATTCTTCCTACCCATGAGCGTGGAATATTCTTCCATTTGTTTGTGTCAATTTTAGATCTTTCCTGCTTTCTTTTGTGGGCATTTAGTGCTATAAATTTCCCTCTACACACAGCTTTAAATGTGTCCCAGAGATTCTGGTATATAGTGTCTTTTTTCTTACTGGTTTCAAAGAACATCTTTATTTCTGCCTTCATTTCGTTATTTACCAATACTCATTCAGGAGCAAGTTGTTCAGTTTCCCATGTAGTTGTGTGGTTTTGAGTGAGTTTCTTAATCCTGAGTTCTAATTTGATTGCACTGTGGTCTGAGAGACAGTTTGTTGTGATTTCTGTTCTTTTACATTTGCTGAGGAGTGCTTTACTTCCAATTGTGTGGTCAATTTTAGAATAAGTGCGAAGTGGTGCTGGGAAGAAAGTATATTCTGTTGATTTGGGGTGGAGAGTTCTGTAGATGTCTACTAGGTCTGCTTGTTGCAGAGCCGAGTTCAGGTCCTGGATATCCTTGTTAGCCTTCTGTCTCATTGATCTGTCTAATATTGACAGTGGGGTGTTAAAGTCTCCCATTATTATTGTGTGGGAGTCTAAGTCTCTTTGTAGTTTTTTAAGGACTTGTTTTATGTATCTGGGTGCTCCTGTATTGGGTGCATATATATTTAAGATAGTTAACTTTTCTTGTTGAATTGATCCCTTTACCATTGTGTAATGATCTTCTTTGTCTCTTTTCATCTTTTTTGGTTTAAAGTCTGTTTTATCAGAGACTAGGATTGCAACCCCTGCTTTTTTTTTGCTTTCCATTTGCTTGGTAGATCTTCCTCCATCCCTTTATTTTGAGCCTATATGCGTCTGCACGTGAGATTGTTCTCCTGAATATAGCACACTGATGGGTCTTGACTTGTTATTCAGTTTGCCAGTCTGTGTCTTTTAATTGGGGCATTTAGCCCATTTACATATAAGGTTAATATTGTTATGTGTGAATTTGATCCTGTCATTATGATATTCACTGGTTATTTTGCCCGTTAATTGACGCAGTTTCTTCATAGCATCAACGGTCTTTACAATTTGGACTGTTTTTGCAGTGGCTGGTACTGGTTGTTTCTTTCCATGTTTAGTGCTTCCTTCAGGAGCTGTTGTAAGGCAGGCCTGGTGGTGAAAAATCTCTCAGCATTTGCTTGTCTGTAAAGGATTTTATTTCTCCTTCACTTATGAAGCTTAGTTTGGCTGGACATGAAATTCTGGGTTGAAAATTCTTTTCTTTAGGAATGTGGAATATTGACCCCCGTTCTCTTCTGGCTTGTAGGGTTTCTGCCGAGAGATCCACTGTTAGTCTGATGGGCTTCCCTTTGTGGGTAACTTGACCTTTCTCTCTGGCTGCCCTTAACACTTTTTCCTTCATTTCAACTTTGGTGAACCTGACAATTATGTGTCTTGGGTTTGTTCCTCTTGAGGCATATCTTTGTGGTGTTCTCTGTATTTCCTGAATTTGAATGTTGGCCTGCCTTGCTATATTGGGGAAGTTCTCCTGGATAATATCCTGAAGAGTGTTTTCCAACTCAGTTCCATTTTTCCCATCACTTTCAGGTTCACCAATCAAATGTAGATTTGGTCTTTTCACATAGTCCCATATTTCTTGGAGGCTTTGTTCATTTCTTTTTACTCTTTTTTCTCTAACTTTGTCTTCCTGCTTTATTTCACTAATTTGATCTTCAATCACTGATACCCTTTCTTCCACTTGATTGAATCGGCTATTGAAGCTTGTGCATGCGTCACGAAGTTCTCGTGCCATGGTTTTCAGCTCCACCAGGTCACTTAAGGTCTTCTCTATGCTGTTTATGCTAGTTAGACATTTGTCTAATCTTTTTTCAAAGTTTTTAACTTCTTTGTGATGGGTTTGAACATCCTCCTTTAGCTCGGAGAAGTTTGTTATTACCGACCTTCTGAAGCCTACTTCTGTCAACTCGTCAAAGTCATTCTCCATCCAGCTTTGTTCCATTGCTGGCAGGGCGCTGCGATTCTTTGGAGGAGAAGAGGTGCTCTGATTTTTAGAATTTTCAGCTTTTCTGCTCTGGGTTTCTCCTGATCTTTGTGGTTTTATCTACCTTTGGTCTTTGATATTGGTGACCTACAGATGGGGTTTTGGTGTAGATGACTTTCTGTTGATGTTGATGCTATTCCTTTCTGTTTGTTAGTTTTCCTTCTAACAGTCAGGTCCCTCAGCTGCAGGTCTGTTGGAGTTTGCTGGAGGTCCACTTCAGACCCTGCTGGCCTGGGTATCACCAGCAGAGGCTACAGAACAGCAAATATTGCTGCCTGATCTTTTCTCTGGAAGCTTCGTCCCAGAGGGGCAGCCACCTATATGAAGTGTCTGTCAGCCCCTACTGGGAGGTGTCTCCCAGTTAGGCTACATGGGGGTCAGGGACCCACTTGAGGAGGCAGTCTGTCTGTTCTCAGAGCTCAAACGCTGTGCTGGGAGAACCTCTACTCTCTTCAGAGCTGTCAGACAGGGACGTTTAACTCTGCAGAAATTGCCTGCTGCCTTTTGTACAGCTATGCCCTGCCCACAGAGGTGGAGTCTAGAGGCAGTAGGCCTTGTTGAACTGCAGTGGGCTCCATCCAGTTTGAGCTTCCAGGCTGCTTTGTTTACCTACTCAAACCTCAGAAATGGCAGACGTCCCTACCCCAACCATGCTGCCATCTCACAGATCAATCTCAGACTGCTGTGTTAGCAGTGAGCAAGGCTCCATGGGCGTGGGGCCCACAGAGCAAGGCATGGGAGAGAATCACCTTGTCTGCCAGTTGCTAAGACCTTGTGAAAGGCACAGTATTTGGGGAGGAGTGTCCCATTTTTCCAGGTAGTCTGTCATGGCTTCCCTTGGCTAGGAAAGGGAAATACCCCGACCCCTTGTGCTTCCCAGGTGAGGTGATGCCCCACCCTGCTTTGGCTTGCCGTCTGTGGGCTGCACCCACTGTCCAACCAGTCCCAGTGAGATGAATCACGTACCTCAGTTGGAAATGCAGAAATCACACCCATCTTCTGCATCGATCATGCTGGGAGCTGCAGACTGGAGCTGTTTCTATTCGGCCATCTTGGAATGCCCCCTAGATCAGTCTAGAAATACAATCTTTTTACATTGATCTTGTATTCTGCAATCTTGTTGAACTCGTTTATTACTTTTGATAGTTTTTTTTACTAGATTCTTTAGAATTTTCTATATACAAGATTATGTCATTTGTGAATAGAGATAGTTTTACTTCTTCCTGTCCAAAATGGATGGCTTTTACCTTATTTTTCTTGCCTAATTGTCCTGGCTAGAACCTCCAGTACAATGTTGAATAAATGTGGTGAGAATGGGCATCTTGTGTTGTTACAGATCTTAAGGGAAAAGAATTCAGTCTTTCACCATTAAGTATGATGTTAGCTGTGGGTTTTCCATACATGTCCTTTATCAAGTTAATGAAATTCCTTTCTATTCCCAGTTTGTTTGATGTTTTTAATCATGAAATAATGTCAGATTTTGTCAGATGCTTTCTCAGCATTAATTGAGATGATCATGTGATTTTTTCCCTTCATTCTATTAATGCAGTATATTATATTGATTGGTTTTCTTGTGTTGAACCACCTTTGCACTCCTGGGATAAATTGTACTTGGTTATGTGTATAATTTTTGCACACTGCCAGTTTGGTTTCTTAGTATTTTTGTTTACAATCTTTGCATACATATTCATAAGAGACATGGATCTGCAGTCTTTCTGTGATGCATTTGTCTTATTTTGGTATCAGAATAATTTCTGGTCAGTTTCTGGGGAACAGATCATCTCATATTCTAATTTCATGGAATGAATTAGGAAGAGTTCCTTCTTCTATTTTTTTGAATTTGAGTTTGTGAAAAGTTGGTATCAATTATACATTTGGTAGAATGTCTGCATTGATGCCATCTGTTCCTGCTTTTCTCTTTGAGTAATCTGATTTTTTGTTACTAATTCATTCTTTTCCATTATTACAGTTTTGTTCAGAGTGTCTATTTCTTCTTGGGTCAGTTTTATTAGTTTATGTCTTTCTAGGAATTTGTTCATTTCATCCAGGTTATCTAGGTTTTTGCATATAATATCATATATTTTGCATGTATTCCCTTTATAATCTTTTTTTTTTTTGTCAATCTAGCTAAAGGTTTGTTAATTTTATTGATGTTTTCAAAGAACATGCTTTTGGTATTGATTTTTATATATTGTTTTTCTCTTCCTTGTTTCATTAATTTCTATTCTAATCTTTATTATTTTCTATCTTCTCCTTGCTTTAGATCTTTCTTCAGCATCTTCAGGTGGAGGTTAGGTTGATTTGAAATCTTTCTTTTATAATATAGGCATTTATAGCTATACATGTCCCAGTAAATGTCACTTCAGCTGCATCCTGTAAGTTTTGGTATGTTGTGTTTTTATTTCATTCATCTTAAAGGAAATGGTGGGAGAGAGAAACACGATAGGAAAAAAAGTTAACATTTGTTTTTTGTTTTGTTTTGATACAGAGTCTTGCTCCGTCACCCAGGCTGGAGTGCAGTGGCACAATCTCAGCTCACTGCAACCTCCACCTCCTGGGTTCAAGTAATTCTTATGCCTCAGCCTCCCGAGTAGCTGGGATTATAGGCGTGTGCCACCATGCCCAGCTAATTTTTGTATTTAAAAGATATTTAAAACACGATAGGAAATATTTGTGTTTAAAAGACATCTTTCTTCTTTTTAATATAGGCATTTATAGCTATACATTATAATATGTATAGCTATAAATGCCTATATTTTTGGATTTTCCTTTTTATTTCTTCTTTACATAATAGTTACTTATGACTGTTATTGTTCCACATATTTTCAAATTTTCTAAATGACATTTATATTTTAATGAGTAGAATATAATAAAGGTGAGGAGACATCACTTTTGAGAATAGGTTTCAAAAGACTGTGACTTCTCTCTCGTTTGCACATGCTCTGCTTGGCTTTTCCCACTTGCTTATTCTGATAAAGCAAGCTGTCATATAATGCACCACCATATAGAGAGGCTCATGTGTCAGGAACTGAGGGCAGCCTTTGGCCAAGAGGCCAATAAGGGACTGAAGTTCTCAGTCCGATAGCTCACAAGGAGCTGAATCCTATCAACAACCATATAAATGAGCTTGGAAGTGGACCCTTCCATAGTGAGCCTTGGTTGACAGCCTGATTGCAGTGGTATAACACAGTCTGAGCCCAAGGACCCAGTCAAGGCATGCCCAGATTTCCGATTCACAGAACCTGTGAGATAATAAATGTTGTTTTAAAACCACCAAGTGTTGAGGTAATTTGTTACATAGCAGTAGATAAATAATAAGATGTAGTTGCTTCAGAAAGAGGGCCTGGGTCCTTTGAATGGGCCAGATGCTTATTTTTATTTTCTGTCTCCATGATGTAAGAGGCCTAGAAAGGACCCTACCTCATACATTGTCTCTGTGCCCCACCTTCTCTACTGGAAACTGAGTGTGGTAAATCAGGTTGGATCTTTTCTGGGGAACTGACCATCTCAGATTCAGGTGAGGAAGAACCAAAAGGCCTCCTTTAAGTTCAATTCTTCAACTCAGAGTTTGTATTGGGTTGGTGCAAAAGTAACTGTGGTTATTGCAGTTACTTTTAATTGCAGAAGCCGCTATTACTTTTGTACCAACCTAAATATTAGTGTACAGTGGGGCTACCATGTCTAAAGTGTTCATTTGTTTCCCATTTGGTTATTGTCCTTCATAAGTAAGTTTGTTTGTTTATAACCTTAAGGGTGGAAGGTGAGAGGATAGAATGAAGCTCCCAAGCCCTACACCAAACCCTCAATAGAGATAATGAAAGCAGAGCATTCAGTACATAGTAAGTGCTCAACAAATGTGAACTTTTTGACTGGGTGCAGTGGCTCCTGCCTATAATCCCAGTACTTTGGGAGGCCAACGGGGGGAGATCACCTGAGGTCAGGAGTTCAAGATCAGCCTGGGCAGCATGGTGAAACCCCATCTCTACTAAAAATACAAAAATTAGCTGGGCATGGTGGCACACGCCTATAATCCCAGCTACTCGGGAGGCTGCGGCATAAGAATCGCTTGAACCCAGGAGGTGGAGGTTGCAGTGAGCTGAGATTGTGCCACTGCACTCCAGCCTGGGTGACAGAGCAAGACTCTGTATCAAAACAAAACAAAAAACAAATGTTAACTTTTTTTCCTATTGTGTTTCTCTCTCCCACCCAGTGCTCCAAACTCACTCAAGTTATGACATAGAGTCTCAAACTGTCTGCATTACACCCTGGGGTCACTTGTATTTTGTGGTAGCAAAGCTCCTAATTTGTTTGCTATTGATGTATTTATTGCTAGACCTTATTGAAAAAGGAATTCAACAAAATTCAACTCAACAAACACCTTGGTGATGGGCATTATGCTGAGATTGCACAAACAGAGGGGAATAGAACACAGTTTCTGTCCTTAGACCTGAATTCGGAACTAGTGCCTGGAGAGGGGGTTTGTTTTTACAGATCATCTCACGATTTGAAGGCCAGTCACTAAGAATCCACTCATTTTTTCCCCCATATTTCCCCAACTGAAATTACTCAGGAACAATGTCAGAAAGTCTAACACTTCCTCCATTTTGACTTCAGTCCTGGTGATGGGTCTTCTCTGAGGCCATCCATGTGGATATCTCCTAGGATACAACCATATCTGGAACAGAGGCCTGCACTAATGGAAGTCCCTCCATTACCCAATAAGAAAAATTGGGGAAAAACCCTGAACCTCAAGTCACTTCACAGCCACTTGTCACGAAATGTTCACAATAATGGTACAACTCAACAATGACTGCAGATGAATGGCTTCCTGCCTCTGTGTAATATACACTTGCACAATGGTCAGGACGTAGGACTGCTGTGAGAAAATGCTCTTGATCTGTGAAGTTGGAATCCAGGAATTCTGGAGGAAGATGGAGCACAGGTATGAGAGGAGGAAGGAGAGAATGACCCCTTCCCAGGCCTCCTGATCACGTGGGCACATCATGCTAACATTAACATATGAATGTGCGGGCTCACAGTTGCCACCTATTTGACAGCATTGACAGCAGGATGTTCAGTGTCCCCCAATTAATCCTGGTATGTCTCTGGTGAGTTCTGGACCATTGAGGTCCCCAGCCCACAGGCCACTTGAGGGCAGTGTCTCCCCACTGCAGCTGCTGCTGGGCTGCTCTCCAAAAGCAATGATTCTCCCTGCCTAGGCTGCTGTTTCCTGGGCCCCCAAAACTGCAAAGTCCTTCTGAGGCCAGTACTGCTGTCTGTTATTTCATCTTTTCTTGATGCACGCACTGCTAGAACCACACTGTGTTCTAGGTGGAAATCGCCAGCCCAGACCTACCCTGGCCCTGTCTGGCTCTTAGGCCCTTCAGCAACAATACATGTGCCCCAAGCCTCTTGCTTTCCTTTGTGAAAACAACCCCCCAAGGTCCTTTCCTCTAGTCTCTCCCCCTGGAACTTAAACTTACAACTTCTGTCCCACAGACTGGCCATTCCCTGCAAGCACATCAGCTGGTACCAAGAGGTTTGGGAGGCACTGCCCCACCAGTTTGTTAGATTCCGAATACATATCTCTGGGTGTCAGAGATACTTGTAACATCCTATTACAGTAGTTCTGGGAAATGGACTTTTTCTTCAGGGCAAGAAGAAAACTAAATTTTTTTAATAAGTTGGAATAGCACTTTTTGTCCCCCCTGTGGCCACACTGTTACAGGTATAACAGGTAGATATGAGTGAAGAAGACTAAATTCCTTGAGTAGCTTGTGTTGTATGTGACTGTGTGTGTGTGTGATGTTGACCCACGTGTACCTTAGTGCAAGATTAGAAGATCATAATGGAAGCCTCTCCCAGCTTCACTCTTGTCCTTCTGGAAATCCCATCCTGAGGGAAGGATGAGGTGAGTCGTGGCATGATGGCTAAGAACATTAACCAGTTTCCAGAGCAACGAAGGGAGCTTTGGAATCTGCCTTTAAGGAGTTTCTGTGCTATACTCCAGAAGAAAACTTAACGTTCAGTTTTTAGGTACAAACAGCTATGTTTGGACAAATAACTATGTCAGATGCTTGAATGAAAATATATCCTGGGTTTTTTCTTAGTCTTTCAAATGCATCCAAACCTTTCTGTTGTACTTTTCTAGGAGGCAGTTGTTTCTCTTCTCACAATGAATCAAGCCAGTTAAAAACTGCATGTTCTGAAAGATTGGATAAGGAAAATGTGGTATATGTATGCCATGGAATACTATGCAGACATAAAAAAGAATAAGATTGTGTCTTTTGGGGGAACATGGATGGAGCTGGAGGCAAATATCCTTAGCAAACTAACACAGGAACAGAAAACCAAATACTGCATGTTCTCACTTATAAGTGAGAGCTAAATGATGAGAAGTTACGAACACAAAGAAAGGAACAGCAGACACTAGAGTCTACTTGAGGATGAAGGGTGAGAGGAGAGAGAGAAGCAGAAAAGATAACTATTGGGTAGTGAGCTTATTACCTGGGCGATGAAATAATCTGTACAACAAACTCCTGTGACACAAGTTTACCTACGTAACAAACCTTCACATGTACCTCTGGACCTAAAATAAAAGTTTTAAAAAAAATAAAATTTTTAATTGCATATTAAACAAATTAATGTATAAGCCTGCCTGAGGGGTAAGGAGTAGAAGGAAAAAAGAATGAACACAGGTGGTGAGACTATGGCTACAGGCTTTGTTATTAACTGAGTGCTACTGTGCAAATTAGGCTTTCTGTGCCTCAATATCCAAACCATTAATGTAAGGGTTGTTAAGTTAGATTAGATATTCTTGTAGGCAACTTTCAATGCAAGTATTCTCTGACTATAGATATTCTCTCCCTCCCCCTTTTTCCCTCCTCCCCCATTTCTCCTCTGTTGACCTCTTTCTCCTTCCTATTTCCCTTCAAGATCCTGTTTCCTTTTTCTTATGTGTGTTGTTTTTATTCCAAGACTTTTACACAGGCTCTTTTATTTTCATCACCAGGCAATTTGTGCCAGCGAGTGTGATGCAAATATAGTTAGACAGGATTTTGGTTCTGACTGAATAAGAATTGCTCCACTTGAGTTTACAAAAAATACCCCCCAAAAACAAAAAACCACCACCCGGGCCCTCTAAACCAATTCTATTGAAAGTTTCTTGGCTTCTGAATTTAAAGAACAAGTTGTTCCTGTCGGAGATTCATTATAAAATGTTTGGTTCACCTCCTTCACCGTTAGTGACAAACACACAAAATGAATGCTCAGAGGAGTGTGCAAATCCGAACTGTCCTCCAGAGTAAGGACTCTCCCCTCTGCCGCTACATCAGTGAGCCCACGTTTACAATCTAAAAATTATCCTGAAGCCAAGTCTATCTAAGGACATGAATTAAGGATTCTCAGAAACTGAGTGTTTTCACATACACACACGTAGACACACACATGGCTTAGACAGTTCATGTCAAAATAGACTGAAATTAGCAACTTGGACTTTTAAAATAGTCTCTCTTACTTACGGAAACAAGTGGCAGTGATGGGCTGCTGAAATTGGGAAGAATAAGAAAAACCACAAAAATGGAAGCATCTTAAACTTCCTTCTATCAGTCAGTGACAGAATAGGATTCAATTGCTTGAGGTGGCTAACGTACTATGGCCAAATGATGGGAATCAGATGTAGCTTCCCTTTTCTTGCCACTTTTATCAAGGAGATAGAAAATAAAATTGGAGCAAGTGGAATAAACAACGCTTTAGTCCCTGAAGCCCAAGATAGGTGAGGAATTAAGAGCTCCTACTTCCCAGCTGAGTTACTCTCTAGGCAGTTAAGATTGTCAGGCCATAGCAGACACCGAAAAAGTCAGGGACCTATTATCCTAATACAGGGAGTAAGGGTGTTAGTAACAATAATCCAATCTGACATAGAGAGTCAATTCTAGAAAATATAGGTGGGTGAGCTTCATGCTGATCCCAGGATTATTTAATGGATGGTTCACAGGTACTTAGAAAACATTGGCTATAGGAAGCCAATACAAATTATTATTATTTTGAGACAGGGTCTCACACTGTAGCCCATACTGGAGTGCAGTGGTGCAATCACAGCTCACTGCAGCCTCAACTTCCCAGGCTCAAGTGATCCTCCTGCTTCAGTTTTCCTGAGTAGCAGGGACTACAGGCATGCTCCACCACGCCCAGCTAATTTTTAGATTTTTTTTTTTTTTTTTTGTAGAGATGGGGTTTTGCCATGTTGCCAAGGCTGGTCTCAAACTCCTGGCCTCAAGTGATTCTCCCACCCTGGCCTCCCAAAGTGCTGGCATTACAGATGTGAACCACTGTGCCTGGCCTAGGATTCTTTAAGAATAAGTCAAGTCAAGGTAATTCCAGATTTTTCTTACCCCCCTAGGTTTACTTAACAATGAAATAAAGGAAATGTACTTTATTTGGATTTTAGAAAGGCACTTTAAATTTTTTCCATGAATACTACTCAGCCATAAAAAGGAATGAAATAATGGCATTCGCAGGAATCTGGATGGAAGTGGAGGCCATTATTCTAAGTGAAGTAACTGAAGAATGGAAAACCAAGCATCATATATTCTCACTTATAAGTGGGAGCTAAGCTATGAGGACGCAAAGGCATGAGAATGATATAATGGACTCTGGGGACTTGGGGAAAAGGGTGGGAGGCAGGTGAGGGATAAAAGACTACACACTGGGTACAGTGGACACTGCTTGGGTGTGCCAGAATCTCAGAAATCAAATAGCTTACTCATGTAACCAAACGCCACCTGTTCCCCAAAAACTGTTGAAAAATATATTTTTAATATAGATATATATACTTACGTAGTATATACATATAATTCAAAAATTGATTCCATGATGTTCTTGAAGACAAGATGAAAAAATAACAGATCCTAAATAGTGTGGTTAAAGTTACAGGTGTTTATACAACTATTCTTAAATACTCCTGATGAATAGGTCATGTGTTTGCCTAGAAGGGGATCTTTCCAGCATGCTGCAGAGTTCTGCTTTTGGCTCTGTCTGAGCCACCATTTAATATCAGAGATTTGTGTGCAGCTAGAGATATGAGAGAAGCAGCACAGACGGGAGTCACGGATGCAAACAAAAAGCTTAACATTCACCAGGAATAAATGGCAACTACTCTCCTTAGGCATGTGGAAAAACAACATACCAAACAAACAGAAATCAAGTGCAAGATGAAGAACCCCATGGGAATGACTTGGGAGAATGAAGAAAACTTGAGAATTCTACTAGAAATCATAAGGACTTGATTAAAGGGAAAATACTGCTAGTTCTTACACGGAAAGACTCAGTGTTATAGAGATGTCGAGTCTCTCTCAATTGATATATATTTTAATAAATGAGTTTAACTCATTCCTATTTTGGGAAATTACTGATGTATTTGGAAATCTTTCTTGAGGCTCTTTTGCTTAGGAAGAAATACGTAAGGGCTTCCAGGTCACTGGCAATGTTCTACTTGTGGGTCTGGATTATGGTGTCGGGGCATTTGCTTTATAATAATGTGTTACATTTCACATGTGTCTTATACCTTCCCAACCACAACCTCTTTCCTCTCCCCAGAGGCAGCCGCCATCCACATTTTTATAGTAATCAATTTCTAGCACTTTGCAGCATGGTTTAAGATTCATTCAGTCTGCAGACATGTTGCCGTAGTTTACCTTTATTGCCATTTAGCATTTTTTTGTTTAAACGTAATGCAATGTGTTTTCTGTTTTCTGTTGGTGATTATTTTGGTTGTTTCTGGTTTTGTTGTTGTTGTTGTTGTTCTCTTTTTGGCTTTTTTGTTTTTGCCACAGGGTCTTGCTCTGTTACCCAGGCTGGAGTGCAGTGGCATGATCTCAGCTCACTGCAACTTCCACTTCCCAGGCTCAAGCAATGCTCCCTCCTCAGCCTCTCAAGTAACTGAGACTACAGGCACACGCCAATAGGTTCAGCTAATTTTTTTTTTTAATTTTTTGTAGACATGGCATCTTGCCATGTTTCCCAGGCTTGTCTTGAACTCCTGAGTTCAAGCAATCCTAAAAGTTCTGGGATTATAGGAGTGATCCACTGTGCCCAACTATTTCTGATTTTTGAATATGAAGAACATTGCTACTATGAACCTTCTTGTGTATGTGTCTTGGTGCATGGGTACTCAGGTTTCTCTTGGAGTTATATTCATATACATATACACACACACACCTAGGAGTAAAAGTGCTCAGCCACAGGATATGAGAATCTTCAACTTTAGCAGATAACATCCAAACTGTTTTTCAAGGTGGACATAATATATACTTCCCCCAATAAATGTCTGATTCCTTTTTTTAAATTTATTTTTTAGTGACAGGGTCTTGTTCCATCATCCAGGCTGGAGTGCCAGAGCATTCTTATTCTTCCACATCATTGCCAACTCTTGGTATTGTCAGACTTCTAAATTTTAGCCACTGTAGTAAGCCTAATTATCTTTAAAATTGTCATGTGCGTACTTAAGTTTATACTCTCAGAAACCCTGAAACTAATCACCACATATTTTCCCTGAGACATGACAAGAACATTACATGATTTTATTTTCCACTGCTCCTGAAACCTTACACACACTCACCCATGTTATTATCCAGAGTTTTAGACCTAATTATTTTTTAAAATAATATTTTATAAGCAATGCTTATTATATGGTTTACTTTTTGTTTGTGTAGCATTACTTCTTCCATCCCTTTACTGTGTTCTGGGTTCATTTTCCTTCTTGATGGAGAATATTCTTTGGTAATTCTATCAGAGCAGGTCTGTGGGTGGTAAACTTTCTGAGTCTGGAAATGTTTTTATTTCATGAAAATAAGGTGTCATTTCATATCACTGGAGTGATATGATGAATTACTTAAACAATTATGTTTTAAAATTAGATCCCCACTTCACACATATTTTTAGAAGGGTCCAGGATTAAAGTGTATACAATGACATTACAAAAATTGACAGAATAAAATATGGATGATTGTTTATATATAATCTTGGAATAGGAATTCCTCCTCTATTATGACATAAAACCTCAAACCTCACCTTTTCAAAAAAACATCATGAAGTTAAAATACTATTGCAAACCTGGGAAAAAACAATTGCAATGCATATAGAAAGCAAATAATTTATTTTCTTAAAATACAAACAGGATTAAAAATCAATAGGTAAAACAAACAAAAAACCTACTAGAAAATTTGAATATAAAATTTACAGAAAAAGAAATACAAATTGTCAGCTGTATTTCAAGATAAAAATACAAAATAAAATGAGATGTCATTTTCACCTACAGATTGGCAAACATTAAAAGGTTTTGTAGTTTCCATTGTTAGCACCAGAGGAAGCATGATGTAAAGACTCATTTTGTAACCTTTTTGAGAGATAATTTGGTAATACCTATCAATCTAAAACATGTGAACTTTTACTAAGTAATCAGACTTCCAGGAATTTATCCTAAGGATGTACTAACAAAACTACCCAAAGATGTATACAAATTAATCAATAAGATTTTGGTTAAGTCAATTAAGAAACATCTTCACAGGTAGAATACCTTTGCAGCCATTGGGAATATTAGCCTCCCAGAGTGACAGCAGCTTGTGAAGGAGGGACTATGATCAGCATTCCCATTTTACAGCTGAAGAGGCTAAGAAACTATGACTCTTTTAATCAAATTGATACAAAACTAGGAAATGAAACTTAATATGTACTATTATTAGGTAGCAACTATCAAAGGGATATAAAAGAGTGAGCCATATCCATTACATGGGAAGCGTGGCTGGGCGGCCTCAGGAAACTTAAAATCACGGTGGAAGGCAAAAGGGAAGCAAGCATGTCCTTGCTTCTATACGTCCTAATATGTCCTAACATGAAAAGATATCCACGTTACTAAGTTAAAAAGAAAAAGTGCAATAAAAAAGTAGAGTGTGATCCTTTTTGTTTAAAAAAATACTATATATGCTTATGTATACAGAAACCTTCTGGAAAGATAAAAAATAACTAACAATGATAACTTCTAGAAAGTAGGCCTGGTGGTGGAGGTGGAAACCTAACATTCATTTTACATTCTACTCTACTGTTTGAACTATTTCACCATATACACTCATTTTGAAAAGGCGGTTTTAGTTAAATGAAAGCTTGGTTTGGTCCCACCATGTAACCTGATTTCCCCAAAACTTAATGTTATTTCCACCTATATTATTAGATTACAGCATCCACAAAATAAAATAATTACATCCTTTCTGGTGGGAGTTGGAAGCAGACTGAATATCCTTCCTGACAACTGGAATATCCCATAGATGGCAGACCCTGCCTCATAAGCTAGGGAGTTTCCACTATTTTCACAGGCTCCACAACCTTAAGACAAGGATAACAGAGAAAGGACTTTTTATTTGTGTAGGAGACTAAACAATCCTTAAGATTTTTTCAACTCTATGACGCTATAACTCTAATATTTACAAAAATGCGTTTAACATTCAGGATTTTGGAAATGTATCTACTCTATAAGACTTCTAGGGTCAGTCAAAATGACACAGGAGCCAATTTCAAAGGGCTCTCACTGGTCAAAGGTGGAGCATTTATTCATCAAAAAGAAAAATAAATGCAAGGGTTTCAAACACATAAAACCTATGCAATTCCCACAGGCCTATAATAATAAAAAGTAAAAGCATCATTGGTCATCTTTGGAGATTGCTCGGGTATCAACTCATTATACTGAGAATGGATAAATATGAAGGGAATCAAGCATTTATTCTGTCTTTCAAGATTTATCCTGATTTTCAGGGAAAGCAAAGAGTTTATGAGGAAAATTCTCCTTTATAAATGAATCATAGCTAATTATTGCAGGAACAACAGAATTAGAAAAATCAAAATTTTCAACCTTAAGAAAATGGTAGATATAGGCACTGCTCATTAATGGTTGCTAAAAATCATTCAGGTGAAAGGCATATAGGGAACCCCAGAATGGATGAGGATCCAGCTTCACCTGAACCTACTGATCAACCTCAGCATTGCTAAGTGGGACATCCAGTCATTAAGTGCATTCCGGGTACGATGTGATAGGGGAACACAGACCACTTCCCAGGAAGTATTCTTGCCCCTCCCCCAAATTGAGCCTAAAAATTGGAATTAAGCCTAATTCCAATCAAGTTTTAGATCCACCCAAGAAATACAGGAGGTAGTGGCACATGGTCAGCAATACCACAAAGATGCAGTCAGTCAAGGCCTCAACGTGGGAAATTCTAAACTGCACAATAAATTACCCAGTTTACTAAAAAAATAAGTGGCATACACAAAAAGAGGGAACTGCTGTGCGTTAAAAGAGACATGATAGCAAAATGCAGTGTACAGACCTTATTTGGATCCTGAGTTGAACATACCAACTATGAAAGACATTTTTTTCAACAGTCAGGAATACTTGAACATGAACTTTTAGATGATGTTGAGGAATGATTGTAAATGTTGTTGGTTGTGACATAGTTTCAGGGTTAAGTGTTTTTAAGTTCTTATCTCTTACAGATACACATTGTATTTATAGATGAAAGTATTTATAGATGAAATCTGATGTTTGAGATTTACTTTAAAATAATTCATTAAACATGTTGCAAAGAGTGCATAAAAAGAACAGGAGGCTGATGTTTTCGTACAGGGGATGGGGGGCTCTGCTGTCATGTGTTTTTGAAATTTTTCATAATAAAAATTTTAAAGATAAAAAAGACAGCCTATTCATGTAAAGCATCTCATATTGCACCTAGGAGGCACTCAACGTATTCGCTATAATCATAGTAACAGCACAGAAAAATATTCTACTAATTTTTACTGACAAAGTTAATAAAAGACATTGAAATTGATCATTATGATATGATTTTGTTAGTACAGACCTTAACTGGGGAGACGGACTGGATCAAGTAAAGGCTCTGACTCTCACTTTAACGTATTTACTCAATGTCTCAAATACTGCATATGAATAAGTTCTTGGACTATGAACAATAAACTTTTAAAAATAAAATTCTGAAGCTAGCAGCTTAAGTTTTTTGGTTTAATATTTCTAGATGACAGTGTATTTGGGGCATTTCCTGCTTAAATAACTTCTTTCTTCTTGTTAATATTCTCACACTTTCAGAACTCAGCTATAAAGAAAATTAAAAACTAGGATTTTCAAATTACCTTTATAAGATACAAAGTGAAGTATCTCGTGTGATAAATGGATATGATGTCTAATTTTTTTCACTCTTTTGGGCTTGTTTCACACATACTCTTTCACTGTATAATTACCCTAAGTAACTTCTGATTAGTCCCTAATAGGGTAAGAGGGTTCATTGCATATTGAGAACCATTTTCCTCAAGAAAACAAAATTCCCTATATTCTCCACTCCCACCACACAGTTACCCGTTCATCTTCAGGTGTAGTTCCTGTAACAAGATAAGAATAGAGAATCCCTGTGGAGACAACCCTCCTGGTCCACCGAGCCCCGAAGCAGTGCCTGGAAATACCATTAACAGGCCATGCCTGGGGCCATATATGAGACTGACCACCTTAGGGATGCTCAAGGTAATCATTAACTCCCAACTTCCTGAGTCTAAAACCTTCTGGGACTCCTTGCTATTTTGAGAATATAATATTGTAAGAAAGGGAGAAAATGTTTTTTAAAATCATAACTGCCTTCAAGGAGTATGGATGCTATGACAGTCAAAGGGGCCAGGGTCTTCCATGCTGATATGGTAATGAGCCCTATTTTTCATCTGAGCACAATAATGGCTTTTGATTTGGGCCTGGTGCTGGCTGAAGGAGCATGGGCAAAAGAGAGTTGCGGCGCAGGTTTCCATAAATAACAAGAAGAATTTGGAATTCCTGGGGGCAATCTGATGGGGACAGGGGAGGGGAAAGGAAAAGAGACTGAAGGAGAGAGAGGGATTTAGTTAGTCGACACAGGCTGGGACACCATATATTGGAGGGAATCCGGCCAGTGAGACATCTACTGGCGCAGTGGCCAAAATGACCTTTACAGAGAGGGAGGTCTACTATGCAATTTAACATTGTGTTTCTGCAATTTAAATACTTTTGGTTTTCCCGAAAATTGCTGTACAAACGAAGGCCTTGATATGGTTTGGCTCTCTGTCCCCACCCAAACCTTATCTCGAATTGATTCCCACGTGTGGAGGGATTACAGGAGGGAGAGACCTGTAATCCCCACGTATTGAGGGAGGGAGGTGATTGGATCATGGGGGTGGTTTCCTCCATGCTGTTCTCGTGATAGTGAGTGAGTTCTCATGAGATCTGATGGTTTTGTAAGTGTTTAACAGTTCCTCTTTCACACACTCTCTCTACCCCTGCCTTGTGAAGAAGATGTCTTCTTCCCCTTCCACTACAATTGTAAGTTTCCTGAGATCTCCCCAGCCATGAGGAACTGTGAGTCAATTAAAGCTCTTTCCTTTATAAATTACCCAGTCTCAGGAAGTTCTTGATAGCAGTGTTAAAATGGACTAATACCGGCCTTAATGATCAAATTTTTGTTTATGTTTTGTTGCTATCTTGGTAGCAGTGGGGTGAAGAAAATCAAAGAAATACACTACATTCTCTATCAGGTTGGGTGGAGCCAGTGTGGAAAAGTATAAAGTTCATAAACTCAAGTATACTCATCAAAAGAAAGGAATTAGATCCAGAGGTGACCATGAGGACATGAGCCTCTGGGAATTTGCAAAAATGGGCAAAGAGCTTAGACTTTCTACCAGCTGTGGAGTGTTTGAGCAAAATCTTCTCTAGCTCTTAAGAGGCAAGGTTACCTCAGTTGATAATGAGTCTCACGACTCTGTGCTTGTGCCAAAACATCGCCCAACCTTCAAAGCGGTCACATCTAGTTTCTCTCTTTCTTCTTCTTCTTCTTCTTTTTCTTTTGTTAGAGACAGGGTCTCACTCTGTTGCCCAAGCTGGAGTGCAGTGGATGATCATGGCTCACTGCAGCCTTGAACTCCTAGGCTCAAGTAATCCTCCTGCTTCAGCCTCCCAAGTAGTTGGGACTACAGATATGTGCCACCACAACCAGGCTAATTTTTTAATTCTTTATTTGTAGAGATGGGGCCTCACTTCATTGCCCGGGCTCATCTTGGATTCCTGGCTTCAAGTGATCCTCCCATGTCGGCCTCCAAAGTGCTGGGATTACAGGTTTGAGCCACTGTGCCTAGCCCACGTCTGGTTTCTAATGTTGAAATGAAAGCCAAGTTTCCTTCATTAATCCCCTTCAGTCTGTTCCCATTGAGCCTAAATAGTTATAATAATTTCAGCCTATCTTCCTATGAAAGTGATTCAATCTCCATCAGCATTTCAGCTGAACTTCTTGGACTCATTTTCATAAAGACTAATTGCTTGTGTAAGGTTGTGTTTAAAACAAATGTTATCCAAGTTCAGTGTTTCTAACCATTACCACTGACATCAAGGAAGTTGAGTGTGTGTGGGAGTTTGATCATCCCCATCAATCCAGGAGGACACTGTTCTGGGAGTCTGAGGTCCCAGCTTTTGGTCTCAGCTTTACCATTTAACTTGACTGTGAGCCCTCAATTTCCTTATCTGCAAAACTGCAAAAGCCCTCAATTTCCTTATGTGCACTGTTCACCTCATAAGACTGTTGAGAAGACTAAAAGAGATAACACATCAATGATCTTATTCAGAACACAAAATTATGCAAATAAGGGTTAATATTTGGGCTGATAATAGTTCAACAATGTAAAAAATGTATTTCCTTTGTTAAGGACTATTTGATTCAACAGTGCGCCTGACAGAAGAATTACTCAACCCTGACTGTTCTTTATTTCTCAATGGGTGATCTGGCAACAGTCTAAACAAACACAAAATTTAGAACCCCTTTAAACCTTCCTAGTAGTTCATTTTCCTTCAAGCATTTAAGCAAGCCAACAACCCAAAAAACTTCCAATTTCTCTCCTATGAACAAACTCTGCACAGAGAACTCAGCCAAACTTACTTTAGCGGTTACTACCCTGAGGCTTTTGATGGTTCAAAAAGTACTTCCTTTGTAAGCCAAAAATCTAATCATTAGAGAGGGCCAATCTCAAAGAAATAGCCTCGGGACTGTAGCACTTGAGTTAAGTAGGAGAAGCACTTTCCGGAATAGTGTCTCCCAGCATTCTACTGGTTCAAGGCTGCAGTTGCCTTTGTCTGCTGTCATCCCTCTGCTGAATTCTCTTCCTGTTCCAGGGAACAAGGCTGAAGAGCCTCCAGGGCTCAATCATGCAAATGCTGATCAGATTTAGGTAACTAGGGCAGAGAATTTTACAGAGGGGTGGAGAAAGTCACTAGAGTGACACAGTAAAAATGCAAATTAATTTCAGAGCAAGCACTTTACCCACCTCCCAAGGCACTTAATGATTTCGGATGAATGACTCTGAGTCTGAGGGCCACCATGATGGCTCTTGGCTAGACTTTGGTTTCCCAGTCTCTTCTCCCTGAGCATCTAAAAGTTATTGCATGAAAGGGACATACACTCCCTGAGAAGAGAGCCCCACTATCTGTTCCTTATTTTTTTCTTAAATGCGTTCTCTCCTCAGGCTTTTCTCCTTTTCATTCCATTTCTAACAAGACCAAGTACAACATATTTACACATCTGAAAATCTTTATTGTCTAAATACCATCCATTATTAATTGTATACCTGATCCAATACACAAAGCAAGTCAGTCAGGGAGCAACGGCTTGCATTCTGGTTCCTCTAAAAATGTAGAGGTGGGGAAAATGATCAGTTGGGAGTAATTATAGGGCTTTTTTTAAGGAATAACTTTTTCTTTTTATAAAATAATAAATGCTCATTATAGAACCAGGCAAAAAAATTATAAGTAGCCTTAAATCTCTTTTGTTGGACATTGAGCATTTGGCTGTGAGACCCAGATGTAGAAAAATGGTGTTTTAGCCCAGAACACTTTCCTCTCCATGTATCACCCACAGGGGAGAAACGCACAAAGGAAGCAAGGTGAGGAAAAGCAACTCCTTACTATTAGGAGAGGCTTTGGCTCCAAAGCTGAGATTTGAACTCCCGGACCTGTGCTGGTTCACATGCAGTGCTCCTTTTCAGGAAAATAATTGGGCCTATATAGCCTTGAACCCATGCAGGATATAAGCTGCTCCATGAGGGACCTCTAATCCTGAACCCAAGGGGAATGATAGCTGCCCCTATTGAAGAGAGGAGCCAGAATAGGGGCCACTTAGGCTCTAGACCTATGATGGGCAGTAGCCCTGGGTCCAATTGCAGGTGGAGAGAGCAGCTCCGGAGAAAGAGAGGGAGATGGGACTGCGTAGCAATTCACCCCAGCCATGTGTGCTGACCGGGAAAACAAGGCCTGTTGGTGATCCAGGATATGACAGTGCAGATCCCCCTTGACCTCCTTGGGGTAGGCTAAAAGGAGTATGGAGGGAGGAGTGGAGAGATAAGGGGAGAGGTTTCCCCTAGAGATTTTTACCTTTGACCCTACACCCCCATTTTCAGGAAATCTATCTTAGGAAATAATCAGCTACCTATGGAAAGCTCTGCTTATAAGAATGGTCAATATGGCATTATTCATTCCATCTAAAATTCAGATATTAAGTGTTAAATTATCATAATTAAAATGATGAGGCTTTCAAAGGCAGACACTACATATCAAAGTTAGGAGCTATCGCTCTACCAAAGCCATTTTCTGATATCAGCACCACTTTCAAGGGGTTCAGCTCATAGCTCCAAAATATTTATTTTTCTAACTTTCACATGACTAATCCATTTTTCCAACAAGTAAAACAATAGAAAAAAGACAGTGAAATGCCTTTCACAGATCCAAAGAGTGGTGAAAAAGCCAAACATAATACTCAAAGACATTTGCAGCTGGGCAGGACTTTGGAGATAATTTAGTCCAGTACCCCTCATTGTACAGATAATAAAACTGAGTCCTGGTGAGAGGACATGACTTACCCAAGGTTAGGTCAGAAGCAGAGCCCTACATCTCTGACCCTCCCATCTGGGGCTCCCTCTGCGGCCCCTCCCTGAAGCTGCAGGGTCCTTTGCATTCTGGGAGAGATTTGGATTAGGCCCTTGCTATTGACACAATCTCTGATTAAAATTCGCATTCAAATAGAGATGCCCCATTTAACAAATACACGTGCAAGACACCCGGTAATATTTGAATGTCAGTAAACAATGAATAACTTCTTTTATTTTTAATCTTTTTGAGACAGGGTCTCACTCTGTTGCCCAGTCTAGAGTGCAGTGGCATGATCCTGCTCACTGCAACCCGGACCACCTGGGTTCAAGCAATCCTCCCATTTTAACATCCCAAATAGCGGAGACTATAGGAACACACCACACCCAGCAAATTTTTAAATTTTTTGTAGAGACAGGGTCTCCCTATTTTGCCCAGGCTGGTCTCGAGCTCCTAGGCTGAATTGATCCTCCCACCTTGGCCTCCCAAAGTGCTGGGATTACAGACATGAGCCACACACCTGGCCAACGATGAATTTTTTTTTTGTACAAGTATATCCCATGTCCATATATATTATTTGTGTGTGTGTGTGTATATATATATATATATATATATATATATATATATATATATATATGCATAAACACTGAAAATTGTTTATCTGACATTCAATTTGAAAGTTGAAATCTAGGCATGTTTTTTAAAAATTTGGGCATTTTTTATTTGCTAAAACTGGCAACTCTATATTCAAAAAGAGACATGTCAAAGATTGTTAGAATAAGAAAAGATCATCCATTCCAATTTTCTGATTTTTTACAGATGAGAAAACTGATAAGCAGAGCGAAGCTGCTACCTGCTAAGGTTCCGTGGTTGCTTGGTGACCAAGTTGAGACCACAACTCAGAGGAGATGGTTACCAGGGCCCCTTCTAACACACCATTCTGGATGTGCCTTCCTTCCTGACATTAAAAAAGTTCAACTTATAAATCTTTTAAGAATGAAATCCTAAGAAATCTCATGTGCAGTCAATTTCCCCTCCACACCTCTCTTAGGTTGCAGCCATACACTGAGGGCTTTCCTTGATGCCAAAACAACCTAAAGCAATAGAAGATTCTTGGAAGATCTTAGAACGGTGGATCTCAGACTCCAGCATGCATCAGAATCACCTGGAGGTGATCACTTGTTAAAATGCGCATCGCTGGGTCCCACCTCCAGAGTTTCTCATGCTGGAAGTCTGGGAGAGAGACCTACAATTTCCATTTCTCACAAGCTCCCAGGTGATGCTGTTGTTGCCGGTCCAGGAGTCACACTAGAGAACTACTGGTTTAGTTGATGCAGCCATGCCTATTCGATGAGAATTCCCTGATTAAACCAGAGGGAAAAAAGAAGTCTTGTGTTTGGGAATATTGTGTCTCAGTTATAGAAAATCATATTCTGGGCCGGGCGCAGTGGCTCATGCCTGTAATCCCAGCACTTTGGGAGGCCGAGGCAGGTGGATCACCTGAGGTCAGGAGTTCAAGACCAGCCTGCCCAACCTGGTGAAACACCATCTCTACTAAAAATACAAAAAAATTAGCCGGGCATGGTGGTGTGTGTCTGTAATCCCAGTTACTCGGGAGGCTGAGGCATGAGAATTGCTTGAACCTGGGAGGTGGAGGTTACAGTGAGCCGAGATCATGCCACTGCACTCCAGCCTGGGCGACAGAGAGAGACTGTCTTAAAAAAAAAAAAAGAAGAAGAAAATCATATTCTGTGCTGTATGTTATTAGAGAAATTGTTTTTTTAAGGGCAAAACCAGCCTAAATAAGTTTGCTGAGCTGAGATCAATAAGACTGGACAACAGCAATGAATTAAAGGATTATGAGGCAAGTTTAGTTGGGAAAGGAAAGAAGGAATAGGAACAATGATTAGTTTCAGGAAAGAGGAACCACGTGAACAATCTGAAAAAGCACTGTAGTCAGAATGTTCTGTGACTATGTCATACCTTTTATTTTTTCCCCCCAAACTTAGCTATCTAATTATGTGGCTAATTGCAGCTGAATGAAACATTCTGTTGAGATGATTAAGGCCAATATGAGAAATTCTGAGGCCTTTGTTCAATCACTTTTGTGGGAACTCAGCGCCCTATTTCTACTGTCAGAGCTGGAGGCCGCAATGCAGTTTCCCACCCCTCAGCCCCTCCTTCCCTCCCCATCCCTCCTCCTCCCAGCCACTGCTGCCTCCTTACTGCTTCCTAAACAATGACCAGATTGTTACACCTCTCTTGGCTTCTTCTGAAAGAAACCACCCAACTGAAGTTTTCAAATCTACCCTTTTCGTCCTTGTCCTCCTTCAACTGGCCGCTCCGCAGCCCTGAGCTTCAAGGCCAGGGAGTCCTGTCACATGTCTGCATCTCGCCTCACACTTTGCAAATAACAATGCATATGTGCCATAATTATTTGCTCTTCCACCAAATGGCATAGCTCATTTCTATAAGCACTGGGGGAAAGATGCTCTAAAACGTCCAGTTACATCTCCAACCTGAGGGGACTGAGAGAGACATTCCCAGAGAAAGAGCAGTCTTTTCTGAGAGACTTGGGTGGCCATGGTGTAATTCCATGGACAGAGCTTAATTGGAAAATATCCATGGCAGTAAATAAAGAGCAAAGGAGAAAAACATTCCCCTCAGCCAGCAGCTGAGGCAGAGAGAGTTGGCCCTGCTTGGTACTTATGGATCCCCAGGAACTCATTTCCAGCTTGCCTGAAGGCAGTCACTGGCCCCATGAAGTCAGGAGCTAAAAGCAAAGGGTAATAGTTCCCTGAATATAACTTCACAGTCCAGCAGCCCTCCCAGGAAACTCTGAGGGGCACCTCACCTCTGAGGCAAGTGCAATAAAAGCAGACTTCAAATCTCAGCTGGGAATTCAGGGGATAAAAATTAGAGTTAACTCCTTCAAGGATACCAGTGTGGTATCCTTGCAGTTTAATACTGGGTTCTGGTTTCCTCGCTGCCTCTCAAATAACATGCCTATGATTCCCTGCAGAGAGGCTGGGAGCCCAGTGTGGGCCAGGAATAAAGAATTGTGATATATCCCAAGTAACTGAGGCCATGATGAGAAGCAGCATTGGCTTGCAGGATTAAAGCAGTGGAATGGAAGGGGGCTTGTCACCCAGACCCCTCTCGCCACCGTGTCTCAGAGCCTTCATGGAGACAGGCAGACACATTCTTGGGGAGGGGTTGGACTGAGTCACACAGTTCCGGAGGCCACTATTAATTGTTGGTTAAACCAGTCTGCAAGAATAAACTGGCATGGAACAAAGAGGATGAGTGACCCAGCAAATGTGGCTCAGAGGGGGCACTTCAAGGGCTGGCTGCCTGGACCTCAGCAACAGCCACCAAAGGATTGAAAGGACCCAGCTGTGGCTTGTGAGGTTGAGATGGCTTTATTGGTAGGCCAGGAGCCAGCTGGGTACAAGGCATGATTTGGGGGCCCCTATGAAGATTTCTATTGCCAAGCCCTTTCATTCATTTGGAAACTCAACAATATAGCCTTTAAAACATAAATCCCCTTGAAGAAAAGTGGCTTACTCTCTCCAGTGGGCATTTATCATATTATGATCTTCCAGATAGCTCCCTCAACAGCTTTGGGAGGATCATACCCCTACTGCTTCTGTATGGTGTCTTGGAACGAACATCCCACAGGGGCCCGATCTTCACTCTTCCCACCCCTGGTAGAGTCAGGGGCTAAGCTCAGTGACCAAGGCACAGCCAGGGTGATACCTTCTCCTGGAACTCTAGGTCTTACACGAGTAATTTCCTAGATGCAAGGACAAACTTTTCATCACAGCAGCAGCAAGCAAACCCTGCCTGCTTCATGGCCACTGCCTGTTCCTGATGGCCCTCTTCCAGGTCTGGTCCTCCAGCCTCTTGTGACTTCACCCTCAGGAGTTAGGGACTCCATCAGTCAGGGGTGCTTGCTGCAAGCAACATAAACCAATTTGGGTTAATTTGATCCTCACAACTACCTTGTAAGTTAGATAGAAGGATAATTATAACAATCTCTAGAGTGAGGAAAGAGGCTCAGGGTGGTAAATATATTTTGAAGACCCAGCAGCTCTACGTGGCAGAGCCCAGACCTGAACCAAGGTCTTCTGTCCCTCCCTCCCCCACATCTATGGCCCAGGCCAGCCTCCTCTCAGATAGCAGAGAGTATTTTGATGCCTCAAAAAATAATCAAGAGAAGGGACTTGAACCCTGAGTTCACAATTAATGAAGATGCTCAAAATCAGGTCCTTCCAAGAGTAATTGGGCTGAAGGTGTGATGGACAGAGCAGGTGAATGAGAGAACACCAAAAGGAGGAAATGGAATAGCCTAGAACAGAAGAGAGGGCACAAAGGGTATGAACACAAGGAGGAGAAATTATTAATAAAAATAACAGCAAATATAAATAGACATATACCCATATATGTGTGAATGTGTTTGCTATGTGTAGGCACTGTTCTAAACTTTACCTATTTACATTTCATAGCCCTGCAAAGTAGGTAGGTATTACTTCCAAGACAGGTAGGGGCCGGGCACGGTAACTCACTCTTGAAATCCCAGCACTTCAGGAGGCCAAGGTGGGAGGATCGCTTGAGCCCAGGAGTTTGAGACCAGCCTGGGCAACATAGTGAGACTCTGTCTCTACAAAAAAAAAAAAAAAAAAAAGAAAGAAACTATTAAGCCGGGTATGGTGGCATGAGCCTTTAGTCCCAGCTACTCAGAGGCTGAGGTAGGAGGATTGCTTGAGCCCAGGAGTTCGAGGCTGAGGCTGCAGGGAGCAGTGATCACACCACTGCACTCCAGCTTGGGCAACAGCAAGATCCTGTCTCAAAAAAAAAAAAAAAAAGACAGACAGACATGTATTACCATTGTTGTCATTTTACAAATGCAGAAACCAAAGCACAGAGAAGACAGGGTTACATCGCTTGGTCACACTGCTAGTAAATAGTAGAGCCTGGATGTGAACCTATGTAGCTTGGTTCCATTCAAGTACACTTAGCCTTTATGCTACCCTGGCTCTCCCATTGAGTAAGTCAGCCCTAAGAATACCATGGAAGTAGAAAGAACGCTGAGGTTCATGAGGTCTAAGAGAAAGTTGTCCAAGTAGAAGGGGCATCAATTTGGATCCTGTTCTGCCTCAGAAGAGCTAGGTCATCTTGAACAAATCATATACCATCTTTAGTCTTGGATTCTACATCTAAAGAATAGAGCCAAAAATACACCTTTGTGAGGAATTCAACACAAGTCTTACAATATTAGGCAAATAGTAACTAAATAATATTCCCCTGTTGCTACACTGGAGGATATTTAATGGTGTTTCATAGGAAGTATGAAGGAATTGAGTAATGGTGGATCAAACTTTGGATCCCTCTCCAGCCCAGGAAATTAGTCTCTCCCCAAGAGAGATTTAAAGCATTCATCCCTTTGCCACCCCCTGCAGAAAACTGCTGGCCCTGCAGAGAGGAAGCCACCCGCAAAGAACACAGAGACACAAATCATCCATATTAGACAACCCAAGAGGCACACTTGGTTTATTGTCAGAACAGGCAGCCAGCAGAAGGTATTGGTGGGAACAGACTTTGTAGAAACCACTAAATAAAGACTGAGCGTAGAGGCAAGCTTGCTCACATGTTTTGGTGGAAAACTTACTACTGAGGGCTCAGCCTAAAGCATGGAACAGGAGTCTCAATATTGCAGTAGAGTGAGACGCACAAAGTGTGAGACATGGCAGAAGGCCTCCAGACTGCACCCAACATAACATTGTCTTCACCACACTTATCAAGGCTTATCAACAGCTCCTTGTGAGAAAGAGCTGGGGGTGGTATTAGAAGCCATGTTTCTCTTCGTAGTTGTTCTGTATGTAGCCATATCAAAATCTATCTGTCAACCTATCTTTCCATAAATATATGATCTTTGCAGAGCATGAGCTCAGTCTTTTTCATGTCAAACCTCAAGTTAAAGAAACCAGCCAAGAAGGTTATGGGGTGCTATCTAGACTTGGGAAATCCTATGATAGTCAAAATTCTGTGCCTGAAGTAGATAAAATAGGCAAGTGGCATCCCATAAAATTATATCTTGATAAAACTTATTAACTTAATGTTTTATGTAACATTAAAATAATATATGCAAAGCACTTACAATAGTGTTTTGCCCAGAATGGGTCATTTCTACAAGTAAATCTCTCAGGCAGCATCATTTTTTAAGTGCCCAAGGTCTAAAGATGACTGTATTTGATTTGATAGGGATTACCAAGGAAGATTGGACAGACTAACCATAGCTGATCACATACACATAATTATCAACAGCTTGGTAGGGTGATTGGAGCAGGAGAGTCCAGTGAAATCCATCAAAGAGGACATTTTGTCAAAGAAGTGCAGGCAGAAGGTTATGAGCCAATGGAAACGGAGAGTTTCAGGTTAGAGAATGGGATATGTGGATGCCTGAATTCTGGCAGAGGCCGGAGGTAGAAGGGAATATGAACACAGAGTGAGCTAGGTAAGAACGGGATGTCGTTGGAGAAGTGGCTGGAACACATGGTTGGGGAGTGTGGTTGGAGCACTCAGACAGTACACTGAGAAGAGGCATCCAGCAGGCTCCTGTCAAGGCTGTGACAGGCAGGAGGATGACAAGCTTGTTTCTGGAGGGGGAAAGGAGGACAAATCAGAGGAGAAGCAGAGCAAGGACTTCCAGTAAATTCTGCAATAGGACAGGAGTGTAAGCTGGGGACAGATGGTGCATCCCTGGTTATGGGAAAGCCCAGCATGCACAAACAAATGACCAGATGACATTCCAGGAAAAGAGAGCTTTTGTGTATGTGTGTCTGTGTGTGTGTGTGATGCCTGCTTCTACTACGTGTTCTGGGGCAGGGGTGAACATCAGGTTTTCATACAAGTACCAGTGCCCAGCCAGGTAGCTTTGGTCATAAGAGCCAAGACAAACAAACCTTTAGATAAGGGAGAAAAGGCAACATAGAGCAGGAGAGTGTCCAGTGAGTGGTGCAGGTAGATGAGGCCAGAGGAAGCAGGCAGGACAAGCCACAATGGGGAGGCAGCCTGTGGCCTGGCTTTTGAAGGAGGAGCAGGAAATTGGGCAAAGGAAGAAACATTCTGCTCCACTTTCCAGCTCTTTTTTTTTTTTTTTTTTTTGAGACAAAGTCTCGCTCTGTCGCCGAGGCTAGAGTGCAGAGATGCGACCTCTGCCTCCTGGGTTCAAGTGATTCTCATGCCTCAGCCTCCCCAGTAGCTGGGATTATAGGCACCCGCCACCATGCCCGGCCAATATTTGTATTTTTAGTAAGATGGGTTTTACCATGTTGGCCAGGCTGGTCTCAAACTCCTGACCTCAAGTGATCCACCCACCTTGGCCTCCCAAAGTGCTGGGATTACAGGTGTGAGCCACCACGCCTGGCCTCCATGTTCTAGTTCTCTATTCAGGTGGGTCTCACACTTGAGCATACATCAGGATCACTCGAAGACTTGTTAAGACAATTTCTGGGCTCCAACTCCAGAATTTCTGATTCAGTAGGTCGGGGATGGGGCCTGAGAATGTGCATTTCCTACATGTTCCCAGATGAAAATGACACTGCTGGCCTGGGGACTGCACTTTGAGAACTACTGATCTAAAACAGTGGCCTCAGAAGCAAGGTCTCTCTGACCTCCCCTCGCCCTCTTACTTCTCGCCTCTTTTTCTCCCCTGAAGTGAGTCATAAAAACCAGAATTCCTCTTTCCCAAAATGGATCATAGAAATTAGAATTCCTCTCCCCCAAAGCAAGCCGTCAAACCTAGAAAGGTCATTCTCTCCCTTCTTTCTTGAGTATCCTCATTCCAGAGGGGTCCTTGTGCCATATCCAGGAGGAAAGAATGCCATACAGAGGCCAAGAAGAATCTGAACAGACAGGCCTTGCTGGATTTCTGCCTTCCGCTCTCAGCATTCAATCACTTGCCCTTTTTCCAATCACATTTCTACACCACTGTCCATTCTTCATCAAACCTAGGCAGAAAAATAGATCTTTGGGTTTTTATTTCTGAAGGCTCCTATGTCACGTAAAACCCTGATTAAATAAATGTGTCAAGCTTTTCTTCTGTGAACATGTCCCTTATGGTGGGTGAGGACCCTTCCATGCCTATAAAACCATGGAAATTCTAATTTAGGAGCACAGAAATAACTACACCCCTTGCCTAGTCAAGAAAAAGAAAAACAAAACAAAACAAACACAGTGGCAAGAAGAATGAGTTGAAAGTTCCATTTTGCAAACTTGGCACATTAATGCCCTTCAGAAAGATCAGAATTTGGCTTGGTCAGGGACAGGAAAAAAGGTCACAAACCAGGATTGTGCTGTGGGGAGGAAGAGTTCAATGGTTCCAAACCCCAAACTAAAAAGCAAAGTGAGAAGGTCTGGCGGGGCTGGCCTCAGGTCAGCCAGGAAGACCAGTCAGACACTGGGGCAGGGCGGAGGGGGTGGGAGGGGCTACTTAGGCATTTGGAGTTGAGGAACACTCAAGAAAGCGTTCCTGAAACCAAAGAGACATCTTCCCTTGCTTGTCACAGGTGTTTGAAATACCAGTATTAAGGTTCCATTGAAAACAACAACACAAAAACAAAACCTCTGGGCACCTCCCTCTGAACTTGTAAAGAATTCAACCAGAGCAGACAGTCAGAGCCTACATTTTCATCCAGCCCCAATCCCACCTTGCCCTGGCAGATTCTGTCCTCCTCCAGCTTGTGACCCTCCACTGTCATTGTCTGAGCTCCTGACTCATGTGAGGGGCTTTAAGGTGGAGATTGCTTCTACTTCTACTTCTACTTCTTGCCCCACCCCCTCTGTGGGAGCAGTGATTTACACATAATATGCTCTTTTAAATAGTTAACAGTTGGCTAGGCGATGTGGCTCAAGCCTGTAATCCCAGCACTTTGGGAGCCCGAGATCGGCGGATTGCATGAGCTCAGGAGTTTGAGACCAGCCTAGGCAACATGGTGAGACCCCTGTCTCTACTAAAAACACAAAAAATTAGCCAGGCGTGGTAGCACTAGCCTGTAGTCTCAGCTACTTGGGAGCCTGTGGCAGGAGAATCACTTGAACCTGGGAGGCAGAGGTTGCAGTGAGCCAGGATTGTGCCACAGCACCCCAGCCTGGGCAACAGAGCAAGACTCTGCCTCCAAAAAAAAAAAATAGTTAACAGTTGTTAACTATTAATAGCTAATAGTTTTTGAATTAAACAAATACACAGGGAGCTCTTTTCCTTAAGATTACCTGATTTTAAACTATATTTTATGCACACATACATGCAGGACAGTTTCAAGTGTAGAGAGCTGAACTTGAAGTTGCAAGTTGGTTCTGGACCCTGACCTGTCACTTAGAAGCTGGGGAACCTTTGCATCTCTCAGGTTATTTGATTTCCCATCCATTAAGTGGACACCTGTCTGGGTTATCTCACAGATTTGTGCAGAAGAGGATCAAATGAGATGAGTGAAAAGTGCTTTTAAACTCAGGAATGGTATGAACATCAGAATGCTTCTTCAGACATGATTTCTCTCCATGGCTCCCTTTCATGTATATTCTTGGCTGTTTAACTTTGATCTGGCCATTGGATGACAAATGCTTAAGATAGAGATACTCCTGCCCTGTCCTTGAGAAACGAAATCAACTTTCTTTAAAGCTCTTTAGGGAAATAGTCTGTATGTAATGGTGATCTAGTCACAGAGCTCTGGATGTCTGATAATAAAATTAACAGACTTATATAAAAGTGGGAGCAGAGGTCCTGCAGCGCTGACATCATCCAACGGTAGCCCTTCCTATGTGGACCCTTTCAGAATGAGGCAAATAATTATTAAGTCTTAAGAGGTTTAAAGTGTCACTCTTGCTAAACCACATCTTTCTTGCACTCTAGATGTGCAGCTGATTTTTCAGACCAAGGTACAGGACCTTATATTTATCACTGTTTAACTTTACTAAATCTCACCCTTTGGGAAATATGGAAAAGTATGGGCTAGATGCAACGACAGCTAAATTTAGTGGTGACAGTTTTGGGGCAGAGCAGGTTAAAACCAGAGCCCAGAGGAATGCCTCTAGAACTCCATCTCCAGGTGGTGATGCTTCCGTTAATCAAGTTCTTTTGCACAAATGTTCTTATGTGTTCATAGTGTCCAAAACCTTGCAGAAACTCAGTTGTACCACCTACTGTATAGTCCTATTTCCCACCCCAAAAACTCTACTAAGGAAGGAAATAGGGGTAGAGTTTCCATGCAGGGTCTGTGACCACGTCTTCCTTTACACTCAATGTCTACAAACCATGACCTTAATAATCTGAATTGACATGAAACTGAGACTGTTTCTATTCTTCAGACACTGTCCCCTTCTCCAAGATCCTCAGAAGTGATAGTTTGGGCTGATTCTTCTTGTTTACTAATCCACTCATTTTCCCAGGATATGGCCAGATTATCCAGGCTAAGAGAATTGAGGCACTGGGACCAAGCTCATCACTTTCAGACACACTCTTCTCTCATCCTGACTGCCTAGCCTCACACAAGTTTGTTCTGCCTTTGCAGTCTGAGGCTTGCTCTCCTTGATGGAGAAAATAGAAGCACACCAGGAAGGAGTTAGGCAGTCTATTTACTTAATGTCATTCCCAGCTTATTATTTTTAGCTTCAAACACCTTGTGGCAATAATTCTGCAGTATCCCTCACTGATACTTGTTTTCTGCAAGAAACACAGAATTATGTACTCTCAGATAACCTGTGAGGGGAATAAAGACTGCCTTTAGCCTCCTTCCACTGCCTGTGTTAGGAGTGGTACCTTCCCTTCCAAGTGCCTTGTCTCTGTAGGGTTTTCTATCCCACCTTTCAGGGTCCTGCCTGAAACACACTGATGCTATTTTAACAGTGGGACCTTGGTAATAAAGCTAGAGGTGGAGTAGCAGGAAACTGACATTCTCTTTAGCATTGTAATGTCCAGGAAATAAGTTAGCAGGGGATTCACATTGGCAGGATGAAAGATCTGTTTATCCATCTCTCTCCTTAAGGTTAGATCATGATGAACGTCTGTTACCTCTCTCCTCTCCCCTTCACTCCTCCCCACTGCTGACGATTCCAGGACCTGACGTTTCTCTACCCCTGCAAGGGGGTGACCATTTGGAACCCCTGAAAGTCCAGAAAAAACACCCTGAATTTATCAAACAGTTTGGGAGGTCAAATTGAACGGAATGGATAATCCAATCCCTAAATTCCACTGTCCTGGGAATGCTGTGTGTGTTGTAATATGACATTCAAAGGAGGAATGAAGGACTGCTCACATGTACTTTCTTCTGCGATCCCATTTTAACGATAAGGAGCCTGGAGCTAGCAGCACACCTGGGCTGCATTCTTTCTCTGGCAGCATGCAAACTCATTTTTACCAAGGTGCCAACTGATTGCTAAGGTGATACCTCTGAGAGCCAACTGCATTTTATAATATCAATATCCACAAATATGTATTGGCCTTCTGCCACACTCACAGCATTTTCATTGACACTGGGGCTACAGCATTGAACAAGACTGTACCTGCCTTCATGGGTCTCAGATTTTAGTGGGAGTCAGATATTGAGCAATTAATCACATAAATTTGAAATAATAAGAGTAATATGTACTATAAAAGAGGAGCCCTAGGTGCTTAGGAGGCCCACATAGGGGAACTTAACTGATCCTGGAAGAGTCACTTTAAGAAGTGACATTTCATCTGAGCTCTGAAAATGAGTGGGTCTGGGTAAGTGCAGAGGAGGAGGCAAAATGTTCCAGAAAGAGATGAGCATGTATATGACTGTCCTGAGGTAGGGAGAACAGAGAGACTCTTCCACGACTGGAGTGAAGTGGGTCAGATGGGGTGGCTGGAGAGGTGGGCAGGAGCCAGGCCACACACAGTCTCCATATCCTGGACCAGTTCAACCCTTGAGGATTTTATTCCAAGAGCAATAGGAAGCCAACTGCAGGCTTTAAACAGGGGAGCAAAGTAATTAGATGTGCATTTTAAAAATGCAAACAGATAGAATATGGAAAATTGACTGAAAAGGATTAATATGAGAAAGCAGGTGGTCAGGTCAGTCCATTATAGTAGTTCAGATAAAGATGATGGCATATTGAACTAAGGTGGTGACAGTGATGATGAAGAGACGTTAATGGACTTGAAAGCCATTTACGAAGTCAAACATCCAGACATGGGGATTAATTGGATATGGTGTAAGGGAACTGTTCACAGTGGTATGTAGAAATGCCCTTTGCTGTTGTAAGGATGGTGGAGGAGGTAAGGTGGAAAAAAATCAGGGTTGTGTTTTGGAGATGTTGCATTTAAGGGACATTGGAAACAACCATGTACTTCATGTGACAATCTAAACCTGCCACTGGGACCCATGGCAAATTCCATCCAGAAATAGGCCTGCAATTATAGACCAGGTTATATAATCACCCTGGCAGAACTGGAATTACTGAGGTGTGTATCTAAAGGCAAAAAATGATTTACTGGGAGAAGTTGCAAAATGACTTCATTAAACTGTATCAAAGTAAAGCTCCATATTACTGCTTAAAAATCCATTTTGCCATTTTTTTTTTTTTTTTTTTTTTTTTTGCTGGATATAGACTTCTTTGTTGACAGGGTTTTCTTCCTCTCAGCAGTTTGAATATTATCCCACTGTCTTTTGGCCCATATGGATTCTGATGAGAAATCAGTTGTTGATCTTATTGAGGATTCCTTGTATGTGTCAAGTTGCTTTTCTTTTACTACTTTCAGAATTCCCTTTTTTTCTTTGTCTTCCAACAGTTTGATAATATATCTCAGCGTGATTCTCTTTATTTATTTGGGGTTTGCTTAGCTTCTTGAATGTGTGGATCCATGTCTTTCATCAAATATAGGGCTTTTTAACCATTATTTCTCTTTTTTTTTTTTTTTGAGACAGAGCCTTACTCTGTTGCCCAGGCTGGAGTGCAGTGGTGCGATCTCAGCTCACTGCAACCTCTGCCTTCTGGGTTCAAGTGATTCTCATGCCTCAGCTTCCCAAGTAGCTGGGACTACAGGTGTGCACCACCACACCCAGCCAATTTTTGTATTTTTAGTAGAGACAGGATTTCACCATATTAGCCAGGCTGGTCTTGAACTCCTGACCTTAAATGATCCACCCATCTCGACCTCCCAAAGTGCTGGGATTATAGGCCTGAGCCACTGCACCTGGCCAATTTCTTAAAATATTCTTTCTCCTTTCTATTCTCTTTTTCTGCACCTCCCATTATACATTCACTGGAACTCTCAATGGTTTCCCACAGATCTCTTAGTTTTGTTCATTTTCCTTCCTTCTTTTTTTTTTGTCTTGCTGCTCAGATTGGGCAATCTCACTTCATCTATCTTCAAATTCACTGATTCTTTCTTTTGTCAATTCACATCTGCTGTGGAACACATCTAGCAAATTTTTTCATTTCGATTATTGTACTTTTCAACTCTGGACTTTGTATTTGGTTTCTTCTTTATTGATATTCTCTATTTGGTGAGACATCATTCTCATAATGCCCTTTAATTCTGTATACATGGTTACCTTTACCTTTTTGAGCATATTTAAAGTAGTTGATTTTTGTCAGATAAGTCCAATATCTGGGCTTCCTTGGGCACAGTTTCTATTAATTTCTTTTTTTACTATGTATGGGCCATACTTCGTTGTGGGTATTTTTTGCATCCTTCATGATTTTTTGTTGAAAACTAGACACTTTGAAGGTTATAATGTGGCAACTCTGGAAATCAGATTCTCCTCCCTCTTCAGAGTTTGTTGTTATGTTAATGCTGGTGGTTTCTGTTTGTTTGGTGACTTTTCTGAACTAATTTTGTAACATTTGTGTTCTTTGTCACATGTGGCCACTGAAGTCTCTCTGTTTAGCTTAATAATCAGATAGTGGTTTGACAGAGAGTGCATGAAATGCCTGCAGCCAAAACCAGAGAAAATCTCCCAGCCTTTGCAGATGGGCTGTGTGTTTCTTTTTCTCTCCGTGTGTGTGTGTGTGTGTGTGTGTGTGTGGTGGGGTGTGTGTGTATGTGTGTGGTGTGTGTGTGTGTGTGTATGTGTGTGGTGTGGTGTGGGGGTGTGTGTTGGGGTGTGTGTATGTGTGTGGTGTGTGTGTGTGTATGTGTGTGGTGTGGTGTGTGTGTGTGTGTGTGTTGGGCATATCTTCAACACTCTGCTGGGCATTTTACAACTTTGTTTTAGTCTTTACTTCCTGCTTGTGCAGAGCCTGAAGGTCGGCCAGAGGTGAAAGCTTAGAGCCTTTCAGGTTTCTCCTGAGCATACGCACTGCCCTGGACATATGCATGGCCTCTAGATTCTCAGGAATAGGTGGTAGCTTTTCACAGCCCCATTCTCACTCCCCACCCTCTTCTCCCAAGCTTTCTGATATGTCTATTATTTGCCCCAACTGTTATCCCTTGTCCTGGCAGCAGCGGTGAACACATTTGCCTTAAACTGTTTCTGACAAATGCTCCCCCAGGTAGCTGCCTCTCTGCTCTTTGAAACTTCTGAATTAAGAAAAAGAAAGGAAAGTCCTTTCCACCAGTTCTTCAAGGACCCACCAGACAGGTCACACCAAGCACCCACAATTCTTTGAGAACAAAGTACACTCCATTTTGTCTGGTACCAGGAACCCACACTTAGAATGCAGGCTGCCATCTTTAAGACAGCTGTTGCTTCTGGGAGGAGGGGATGGGGGAAGGTTAAGTTAAAATGCTGAAAGTTGTTTTACCAATATTCAGCCTCCTTTTTCTTGATTAAGCATCAGTCTGGTTGTTGTAAACCTTTGACTAGTTTCCAGAGTTCCAATAAAATTGATTCTGACAGTTTTTAAAGGGTAGGTGCGGTGGCTCATGCCTGTAATCCCAGCATTTTGGGAGGCCAAGACAGGCAAATTTCTTGAGCTCAGGAGTTTGAGACAAGCCTGGGAATCATGGCAAAACTTTGTCTCTATAAAAACTACAAAAAAAAATTAGCTGGGAATGGTGGCATGTACCTGTGGTCCCAGCTACTCAGGAGGCTGAGGTGGAAGGATTGCTTGAGCTCAGGAGGTTCGGGCTGCAGTGAGCTGTGATCATGCTACTGCACTTCAGCCTGGGTGGCAGAGTGAGACCCTGTCTCAAAAAAAAAAAATAGATTCTGACAGTTTTTGCCAGTTTATTCACTGTTTTTGTGAAGAGTTCATCTCTTGGAGTTCTCTACTCCACCATTTTCATAGTCATCTTGCAGTGTGTGTATGCCTAAAAGAATTACAGGCTTTGAGTGCTGGCAGAATTCGTGATGGTTGGTGACAGAGTCAGAGAAGCTAGATACTGTCATTAGCTAGCTTAAGGTCTGGCAATGCCCATGTGGTGAGACTAGGAGACAGAGATGGGTAGATCCACTGAATACAGACATAATGAATGGGGTGAAGAAGGTGAAGACAGGAAGATCCAACTTTGATCAATATTTCCCCTCATTTCTTCCTCACATTATCTGCTTTTCTAAATAATAACTGTTAAATATTACGTGGCTAACTCCATGCCACATATTTAGGCACTACTTAGGAGACAAAAGAAAGAGCAAACCACATATGTGCCCACAAGAGAGGTTTAATTTTGCTCATGAGATGGCATTTGCCTTAAACAGTCCCAGAATTAATGCAGGGAAGGTAGACGCAGGTTGCTGTAATGTGGTTGACATTAGGATTTGTAAGTACTTCTTTAGGATTTGTAAGGACTAGACATGTGCTGTCCAATATGGGAACTACTATCCACATGTGACATTTTAAATGGAAATTTAGATTAGTTAAAATGAAGTAAAATTTAAAATTCAGTTTCTCAGTCACACTAGCCACATTTCAAGTGTTCAAATGCTACTTGTGTCTAATGGCTACTGAACTGAATAACACAGCTTTCATTGCAGAAAGTTGTATTGGACAGCGCTGGGCTAGAAAGTGGAAAACCAACTCAGAATGCAACTTACTCATTTTGAGAAATCTCCAACTCCTTGAAAATAATCACATATTGCAGCCATGAACAATGAGAGGCTAGTATTAAAGGTATGTTCCTTTAGGTCAGAGATTATGTCTTCATAGCTTTCTGAAGTAGATTCCTTCAAGGTCTTTCTCAAAATTCACATGAGAAATAGAAAGAGACATGTTAACTGGGAAAGAACTCCCGAGGGTGAAGGCCAGGCCCGCATGCTGGCTCAGTAACAGTGCCTCAGCTATCAAAGGGGAAGGGTGATTCTGAGGTTTTCAGGATGTTCATCAGATTTTTCCTCTCAAGCCCCATAAATTCATAACTAAGTCTTAGAGAAGAAGGCTTACATGGGTAAAATGGAGAGAAATCTTCTCACTCCCCATATCTCTGTGGTATGCTGGGATACATGACATGGTACTTTGGTTCCCACACATCAGAGTGAACTCCATTTGGGATTCAATCTCTCCCTTTGGCTTGAATTCAGCAAGGCTTCCATTTAGCTCCAGAATCAGGGGTAGGCAAAGCACAACTGCTGGCTCTGGCCGTGCCCATTCAGTAATAGCTCCTGTACAGGCATCATCCCTGCGCATAAGCTTGGAGCTCTGTATGAATGGAGTTCATGGGGCTGGGCAGGTGGCAGCAGCAAGGGCAGCCCTCTGAGACAGGTGCAGGCACCCAGTGTTGCCATCTCACTGAAGCTCTCTGCAGCTGCATCCAATCACTAATGAATAGGCCCATTGTGTTCTTATTTTCAATGACTATATTTCATTTCTGAAAGTTTGATTGGTCTCAAATCTGCCTATACATTTTCTAAATTGAGGTGTATGTTACATTTAAAAATACATAGTTTTTAAAATGTGCAGTTTGATGAGTTGGTGCACCTATGCAATCACTGCCTCAGTCAAGATACACAACATTTCCATCACCCAAGTAGGTTTCCTCCTGTCCTCTCCCAGTCAATCCTTCACACTCTCAACCCAGACAAAGAGCCATTGGTCTTATTTCTATCCTAATAGTTTGGTTTTGCCTCTTCTAGGACGTCATATAAATGGAAACACAGTATGTACACTTTTGTGTCTGGATTGCTTTGCTCGGCATAAGTTTTTGAAATTTCTTAATGCTGTTTCATTGTAGTATTTCTGTTGAGTTGTTTTCCATGGTTTGAATATACAACAATATGCTTATTCACTTGATGGTGAACAGTTGAGTTACTTCCAGTTTTTGTCTATTATGAATAACACCGCTATGAACATTTTCCTACATGTTTGTGGAAACATGTGTTTTGTGGACACATGTTTTTATTTCTCTTGGGAAAATATCTAGGAGTAAAGTTGCTGACTCACAGGGTTGGAGAATGTTTAACTCTTTAAGAAACACTAAATGTTTTCCCAAAGTGCTTGTATCATATTCTACCCCCTGTACCTTATGTGAGAAACCCTACTGCTACATGTCCTCGCTAACACTTGATATTGTCCAGCTTTTTAGTTTTTGCAATTCTGGTGGGTATGTAATGCTATTTCATTTTGGTTTTTTGTTTTTGTTTGTTGGTTTGTTTCTTTGTTTTTTGACACACTCTCACTGTGTTGCCCAAGCTGGAGTGCAATGGTGTGATCTCGGCTCACTGCAACCTCTGCCTCCCGGGTTCAAGTGATTCTCATGCCTCAGCCTCCCAAGTAGCTGGGATTACAGGCACCCGCCACCACACCCAGCTAATTTTTGTGTTTTTAGTAGAAACGGGGTTTCACCATGTTAGTCAGGCTGCTCTCAAACTCCTGACCTTGTGATCCACCCCCATCGGCGTCCCAAAGTGCTGGGATTACAGGCGTGAGCCACGGCGCCCATCCTCATTTTGGTTTTAACTTGCATTTCCCTAGTGACAAATAATGTTGAGCATCTTTTCATATGCTTATTCATATACTACTTTTATCAAGTTTCTCATCAAGTCTTCTGTCCATTTTTTATTAGATTGTCTTTTTATTAATGAGTTATGAGAGTTCTCTACTCTCTAGACAAGTCTTTTTCAGGCATAAATGACAAATATTTTCTCTCAGTTTGTGGTTTGAATACTTATTTCTTAATCATGCAATCAGATGAGCAGAAATATTTGATTTTGCTGAAATCCAATTTACCTGCTTTTCTTTTATAGTTAGTGTGTTTTGTGTCTTGAAAACTTTTTGCCTAACCTAAGATGATGAAGGAGGCTCCTATTTTTTTCTAGAAGCTTTAAAGTTTTTGCTTTTACAATCTTTCTCATGTTAATGTTTGTGTATAGTATAAGGTATGAATCAAGATTAATTTTTAAATACAAATATTAAGTTATTCTGGCACCAACTATTAAAAAACACTTTATTCCCCCCTATTGAATTACCTTGGGACCTTTGTCAAAAATCAGGCTGGGCGCAGTGGCTCACGCCTGTAATCCCAACATTTTGGGAGGCCAAGGCAGACGGATCACATGAAGCCAGGCATTCGAGACCAGCCTGGCCAACGTGGCAAAACCCTGTCTTTACAAGAAATACAAAAATTATCCAGGTGTGGTGGTACATGTCTGTAATCCCTGCTACTTGGGTGGCTGAGGTACGAGAATTGCTTGGACCCGGAAGGTGGAAATTGCGGTGAGCCAAGATCATGTCACTGCACTCCAGCCTGGTGACAGACAAGAGACCTTGTCTCAAAAAAAAAAAGGAAAAACACACACACACAAAAAAACCAATTGATTGTTTATATATGGGTCTATATTTAGACTCTCTCTTCTGTTACACTGATCTATTTTATTTTCCTTATGCCAATATCACATTATTTGGATTACTAAGGCTTTATAATAAGTCTTAAAAGATAGTATAAATCCTCCAACTTTGTTCTTTTTTTTTCAGAATTGTTTTGATTGTTGTAGGTACTTTGCATTTCCATATAAACTTTATGACCAACGTTTCAATTCCAACAAAAATATCTAATGAATTTTGGTTGGGATTATATGAATCTGCAGATCAATTTGGTGAGAACTGACATCTTAACAATATCAGGTCTTCCAATCAACAGTCATGGTATATCTCTCTATTTATTTATCAGTACTTTAAAGTTTTTAGTGTTAGGTATTCATTGGGCCAATATCTAGGAGTGAAATTACTTTACCTTTAGTGTAAAGGTCATGCACATTTTTTGTTAAGCTAATTCCTAAGTATTTTGTGCTTTTTGACGATATTGTAAATAATACTTTTGAGAAATTACATTCTCCAATTGCTTGTTATTACTACATAGAAATACAGCTGAGATTTTATATTGATCTTGTATTCTATAAAAGTAACTTTTAGTATGTCTTGAAGGTTTTGTAGATGGCTTTGGATTCTCTGTCTACACTGTCATGAGTGTAGATTAAAAAATGCCTCTTCTTTTAGTTGTGTCTCTGCTTCTAAAATGGAGAGTTACCTTTCCAGACATATATTTCTATAAAGTTATTCTTGGAAATGTAGAAGCCTTACCCTGTTCTGCTCCTTGTTCTTCTTTAATTTAACACATCTTGGAAATATTTCCATATCAGTACAGAAAACTTCTCCTCATTACTTTTTTTTAAAAGTTACATCCTCCATTGGGCAGATGTATCCATTTATTTACCCAGTGCATTTTGAATGGACGTAGGTCATTTCCAATCTTTTGTTATCACAAACTAGGCTGCAAGGAGCCCCTTTGATAAACATTATGTCGTATGTGTGCAGGATTAACTTTAGATAAATTCCGAGAAGTGAAATTACTGGGGCAAAACATACAGGCATATGTAATTTTGGCAGATATTGCCACATTTTATTTCACAGACTTGTACTACTTTGTACTCTCTCAGCAAAAGGGGGTAACTTTTCCCACAGCCTTCTTGATAAGGGCTTGTCAAACATTTGGCTATCTCTCACATCAAAAGGTGAGAAATGGTGTCTTGGCATCAACTGCTGAGGAGTTACTTGGAAAGTGGGCCCACAACTGCAGAACGATGGATGTCCTTTTGAAGGGGTTCAGTACTGCCTGGGCCACAAGTGTCTGTCTTCCCACTTGCCATCCAAGAAGGCCTCCCTTCCACAGCCAGCACAGCCCCTCTGACCATCCAGTGGGAATGCTCTGTGCCATCTGATCCCTGAGACTGCGGAGGCCTGATTTGACTTAGCTCACACCATCACCCACCCCACACCCCTTTTTAACCACGTGCCAAGATGGAGGTGTGGAGTCAAAGGGAAAGGCGCCTCCCTGCTGCACTCACACCTACACTTGTGTGGGACTCACAAGAACCAGCTTGAAACCTCCTTTTAGCTCAGGAGAATAATAAACACCCCTAGTATTGCCTAGAGGTGGACAGATTAAGGGGTGAACAGAGGATTGAAGACCTGCATCAAACGCAAGCGTATTAAAACCTCTCCAAAAAATTGAGAGTATGATACCCAGCCTGGGCAACATGGTGAAACCTCGTCACTACAAAAATAACAAAAAATTAGCCAGGCATGGTGGTGTGCACCTGTAGTCCCAGCTCCTTGGGAGGTTAAGGTGGGAGAATCACTTGGGCCTGGGAGGTAAAGGCTGCAGTGAGCCATCCATGATCACACCACTGCACTTCAGCCTGGGTGACAGAGCGAGACCTTGTCTCAAAAAAAAAAAAAAAAAGAGTTAATGACACTTAAATCAACATCTCTCCACATTGAGTATGCCCATTTCCTAACTATTAGGAGCTATGGAGGAGGATGTCCAGGGGAAAAAGAGGACAAAGATATTGCCATCACTTACTTTCAGCTTGCAATTATTTTTCCAATATGCTGAACTTGCAAATGCAAAGGCTATGAAGGAATTTCCTCAAATCTCTTATTTCAAATGCCCCTCGCCCAACCCCCTCCCAGAAAGCACTGTTAGGTGTTTTTAAGTCCCTTGTCTTCTAAGTCCCCTTTCTCAGGTTCCTGCCTGCTGTTCCCACTGTCTACAGCTACACAACACACACTTGATGCTCTGGGACTGCCTCAGGCTGCTGTTTACCTGTGGTTTGTAGAGTTGATACAGTGGCCCAAAGACAGACACACTGTCTGTATGAGCACCCTCCCCTGCATGAGCACACAGGCTTAGCCTCTGAGGCATTTCAAACCCCTTTCTAGGTTGCAATCAAAAGCTAAGTTTTTCTCTAACCTTGATTTCCATCATCCCCCTACATAAAGCCTTTCCTAGAGTAAGGTTATCCCTTTGCTGCCAGCATACACTACATTCACCACATCCATTCCTGCCTCCTGGTCTTCGCTCATGCTGCTCCCAACTCCCTCTCTGCTGACTGTTCAATGTATGTGCATCCTTCAAGATCGAGGTCAGCTTGCATCGCCTCCATGAAAGCTTCCCTGACCCTCTAGTCCCCAAACCATCTCTCCCTCTTTCTACTCCTAGCACTTTCGTTAGGGCCTTCACCTGTCACTTATCTCCTGCCTGTGACATCATTCGGCTCTGTCAAATGATTTAACTTCTCTTCCCTAGCGGCTTGTAAGTAACTTCAGGGCAAAACCTACAGATGATAGTTCACTGGGTTATTTTCACCACTGTGTCTAGAATTTACTATGTGCATAGCAGTGTCCAGTAAACACGTGTTCATTGAATAAGCAACTTTAACTCTTGCTCTTCTCCAGACTTGGTAACCATTGTAGTGAACACAGAAGGTCATTGCTTTGCACATTAGTTTTAACTCCAAGCAGGGCTTTTATCCCTGTTTTCTCACCCATGAGGCCTCAGAATATACTCAATTCATTCATGTTCAACCAGCATCGGGGCCCATTTGCTCTTTTTCATTAACCCACTAACTTATCACCCTTTTGGTAATCGGGGCTCAAGGACAGCTGTTTCACCAGCCCCTCTGGAAAGACCCCCTGCTCTCAGCAGCAATGTTCCAGGGTCCAGGCTCACTCTCCCTGGCTTCTCCTCTCAGAGGAGCTGAATATCAAGCTGTCAAGTGGGGCAGCCTTGTTCCCCAAGCACACCTGCCCTTCTCAGATGAGGCCTGCTGCCCCTACCCTAAATGTTCACACAATTTAAGTAGCCATTTCAACAGATAACCATGTCAAGAAAGACTCCCTTTGAACATTCCCATTTGTCTTTTCTCTTTCCTTTATACAGAAACTATCACTTACTCTTCCTTTAGGCCAAATTTTTCAGGAATCAAATTTTCAGGGTGGCTGGGCATAGTGGCTCATGGCCATAATCCCAGAAGTTTGGGAGGCTGAGGCGGGCAGATCACTTGAGGCCAGGAGTTCAAGACCAGCCTGGGCAACATGGTGAAACCCTGTCTCTACTAAAAATACAAAAATTAGCCAGGCATAGTGGTGCATGCCTATAATCCCAGCTGCTGGGGAGGCTGAGGCACGAGAATCACTTGAACCTGGGAGGTGGAGGTTGCAGTGAGCCAAGATTGTGCCACTGCGCTCCAGCCTGGGAGACAGAGTCTGTCTCAAAACAAATTTTTCTGGTCTCAAAAATAAATTCTGTTGAGGGTTTTAGGAATGTTGGAGCAATCCATTTGCTGAAATAAATTGAAAGCAGTACCCTAAGTAAAGAAAATCACTTTCTGACAGGTCCAGGATCCCCAGGTTATCTAGGGACCTCAAGAGGAGAGAGATTTACTCAACTCATAGGTATTTGAGGGTACAAACCCATGGCTGGGCTCAGCTTTTTAAAAAGTCCTCTGAGATTCCTTATGAAACAGAGTTCCATCAAAGGCAATTTTAAAAGCCTATGTGAAAAATAATTATTGTTGCTGCACTTCATACAAATAATCAGGCCAAGTATAATAAAGCAAATTGGTCTTGCCATGATTTGTCTTAAGTAAAAATGGAAGACTGGAGAGAGAAAAAGTATGCTTCAAAAACTATGGTACATGTGTTATTAGATTCTAGTCTTATCAGCTGTTTTTGAGGTTTTCTTCTGCAATTTAGACTCACCTTGCTTATTCCTGTGAACCTCAGTGATCTCTGACTGCTGCTCAGAAGAAACAAGAGGGATAGGTAATGTAAAAATCTAGATCGATATTCTAATTCTGGGCACGTAGTGGAATCAGCCAGCAACCCCATATCAGCTTGGTTCCAACAGTTGCCCAGTTCATGGAAAGCCTTCTTATTTAGTTTACTTGGGATAGTTTTACTTATTTTACTTTACTGTTGTGAAATATATTTGCTATTCTACTCTTTGTGTAGGAGTGCAGGATAAGCTTACTCAACGTTTTCTTAAATTGAATACTTATTGATCTGCCAGATATCACCTTTTGTTAGGACTCAAAGTTATAAATGGCCTCACCATATAGATGCTTTCTGACTGAGCTCCTCTCTACTCTGAATACAAGAGACCCTAATAGTTAGGCAGGAATATCATCGCCCTATTCAGCCTGAAGAAGTTACAGAATATGGATCTTTGTTCCTCTACAATCCTTGTAAAAGGGAGGGGGAAAATGTCAGAGGCATTTAAACCAGAGCGACTCCATCTTGAATAGGGGCTGGGTAAAATAAGGCTGAGACCTACTGGGCTGCATTCCCAGGAGGTTAGGCATTCTTAGTCATAGCATGACATAAGAGGCCAGCACAAGATACAGGTCATAAAGACCTTACTGATAAAACAGGTTGCAGCAAAGAAGCCGGCCAAAACCCACCAAAACCAAGATGGCAATGAGAGTGAGCTCTGGTCATCCTCACTGTTCATTATACGCTAATTATAATGTATTAGCATGCTAGAAGGCACTCCTACCAGTGCCATGACTGTTTACAAATGCCATGGCAACATCAGGAAGTTGCCCTATATGGTCTAAAAAGGGAAGGAGCCCTCGGTTCTGGGAATTGACCACCCCTTTCCCAGAAAACTCATGAATAATCCACTCCTTTAGCATGTAATCAAGAAGTAACAATAAGTATAAGCATCAGAGTGGTCCATGCAGCTGCTCTGCCTATGGAGTAGCCATTCTTTATTCCTTTACTTTCTTAATAAACTTGCTTTTACTTTGAAAAAATAAAAGAAAGCAATAACCAGGTTCTAGAATTAATTCTTTATTTGAATGTTGATACCATTTTTTATTTATTATTATTATTTAAAGATTTTTTTCCATTTTCATTGTGGCAAGATACACATTGTAAATTTACCATCTTAACATTTTAACTGTATAGTTTAGCAATATTAAGTACATTCATAACATTGTGCAACAATCACCACCATATGATTAATTCTTTGCATGAGGATTTCCTCAATGACTTGGAGGCTAGAAAAGTGAAACAGGCCGAGTATCCATCTTCGAGTTGGGCTTCTGCCTAGGGTAGTAGTCATAATGATAGGGACATAGGGAAGAGAAATTCTAGGCAGAAAAGTGCAGGTCCCTGGTGAAACACCACCCTCCAGCTGAAAAGCCTGAAACCGCAGCCTAAAGTGAGAACTTATATCCCTGTTTTCCGGCTTGAATGTTGCATTTTCCTAAACCACCCATGGCACCGTCCTGCCCCATCCTGTGCCTATAAAAACCCAGACTCAGCTGGTAGATGGGACTATGGCTGGACATCAGAGAGAATCAGCTTGACTTCAGAGGGACAGCCTGACAGGATAACTTTGGAGAAGAATCCAGCTGGAGACGGCTGCACTTCAGGGATAGATTACCTACCCGCCCCATCCCCTTTTCAACTCCCTTTCCTGTTGAGAGTTACTTTCATTGGCAATCAAATTTCCTGCATTTACCATCCTTCAATTTGTTCATGCGACCTCATTTTTCCTGGACGCCAGACAAGAGCTTGGGAGCCATGAGTGTGGATACAAAAGACTGTCACACTGGCCCTTTGCCCTCACTGGCTGAGGGCAGCCGCCTCATGCAAAAAGGAAAGGGGCCCAATGAACTGTTAACACTTAATCCACGGAAGGCAAAGCTAAAAGAGCACTGTGGCATGCCTCTGGGGCTCCGGGAGTTGCAGGCACCACCGCCTGGATGCTACCGCGGGGCCTGCACAGAATTTCACTCCTGCCGGCGCCAAAGCGGCTGGCTGGTTCCGCCGCTCGTTCTTGGACTAATTCACTCCAGTTCTTGCACTAATTCACTCACTCGCTTCCTCCCGTGAGGAGTTTGGAGTGGCGGGCTGAGTAAATGAGGCACCCCTGTCACGAGTCCTGTGAAGGGGTCGGGGAAATATCCTGCTTTGGTAACAACGACTTACATTCATACAGCTTCTCACGGTTTGCCAGATGTTTGCATATTCATTATCTCATTTGACCCTCCCTCATCATCACCCTGGGACATACAGAAGGTTCTGTCATGGGAGGAGGAGGAACCTCCATGCTTGGCCACTGCCTCCCTCCCATGCTGAGTCCTCTCCCTGAGTGGGATGTCATGACGCAGCCCGTGTGTGCCTATAGCAGAATGAGATTTCAGCATAGAATGACTGACAGCCTAACAACCATGTACCTTACTTCTTCTTAAGGAAAGGCAGAGAATAAAATCTGTCCAGAGGAAAATGACTGTTTTATCACTGGTCATGAGCCTTGATGGCCTCGTAAGACTCAAATAACCTAAGCTAAGGCCAAGAACCTGGGCCTGTGAGGGGAGGGTTGGAAGGTGGGCAGGGAATTTGAACTGCATGTATGTTGGATAGGTAGCCTCTCGGTGGCTTCATCTGCAGCACTGCCTCCTGCCCATCTGCCCTCGAGAGACCGGCCTCCTCCATGGCCAAGTTGTTGTGATGCTGCCACAGATATAACAAGATCCTTTGCCTGGGTACCATGAATGAGAGTCTCTTTGCCTTTTCCAGCCTGATATCATGCAATGTCCTCTGAGTAGAAGGGGATTAATCGTCCATCTGCTATCTACTGGTTTCAGTCCACATAAATGTCTCTGACCTGGATCTTGCCATAAGGGTTATTTGCTGTCTTTTACCTCTGTCTTTTGGCAATAGGGGTTTGGGCTATAGGGATGGGCTCTGACACATCCCCCTGCACTAAATTATTCAACATTCCTCTTATCTTTGCAGAGAAGGAGACTGAGGCCCAAGAAAGGAAATAAACCAAATATACAAAGAAAAGGAAATGATAAACTTGTGACTAAACATCAAATTTGCTTCCAAAGTTCCCAGCCGCTTGATATCAGAGGGCAACATGATGTGCCGTATAGACTTCATTTTGGAGAATTTAATATACCTGCTAGTTTTTCAGGTATATGTCCTTCCAGTGCCAACTGTATAGCCTCTATTCCATTTCTTTTCCTTCATAGCAAATTTCATTATTTTTTAGAAACAAAATTTTCTGATTATAAAAATAATAAATGCTAATTTATTAACAACACAGGAAAATGCAAATTTTAAGAGGTTCTTCTGTAACTTTTGACATTTTTATGTATTTCTTTCCTGCCTTTCTCTTTGCATATAAATAATATACATTATACATAACAACTTTATAATCATATTTATAGCCTGGTGCTTTTTATTGGATTCATTATAAATATTCATGTCATTAAAAATTTCTTTCAAAATATCATGTACATTGGCTGGAACAATATTCCACCATGAAGACATACCATAATTTATTTAACAATTCCTCTGTTGCTTGATATTCACACTGTTGCCAGCATTTCTCTATTATAAATAAAGCTGCAATTATCATACTCCTACCTAAATCTTTGTCAGTATCTCTAATTATTTCCTTTGGATAGATACCTAGAAGTGAAAAATCTAGGTCAAAGCTTAGCAACATTGTAACACATTTGATTGTGTGTGATACACAGTTGGTCAAAACTTCTCGAAATAAATGTCTGTATTTGATGTCACCATGCCTTTCCCCTTTTCTCCCGCGCTGCCTGGCTTTTGCCCGCTCTGTGTCTCTGAAATGGCTCTCCTGAAAAATCTCATGTGTGTTTTTCAGTCTCATAACACTTGACTCCCTCATAGCATTTGTACTGTCAGCTACCCACTCTTCCTCAAAACTCTATTTCTTTGACTTCTGGATTCCTTTCTTTCTTATTTATCTTACTGGTTTTCTGACACACCTGCCAAGACTCAGGAACTATTCTGGCTGTCAGTAACAGAAGAACCTGCTAACAGTGACTGAAGTGAACAAGGACTTATTTTTCTTGCACAACAGAAGACGACATATAGCTGCCAAAGTTGGCTTAGTTGCTCACTGATGCTAGGTCCAGTATCTCTGAGATTCTCTTGGTATTCCCTTCATGCTTGTTGCCTCAAGATCACAATGTGGCTGCTGCAGCACTAGGCATCACATCCACATTCAAGAAAGAAAAAATGAGGCAACCTCTCCCTTTTTGCAATCATTTTATTCAGGAAGCATGTTCTCTTTAGCAGGCCTCCTGCTGTGTTTCATCAGCCAGAACTGGGTCACATATCAGGCTGTAAGCCAATCTTGATTCATCCTCTGGAGGCCTGGGATGGTGTTACCTTCCTGAAATCAAGAGACTCAACCTGAACAAATCAATGTTGTTTTGGTAGGAAAAGGGGATGGTAGAGTGTGGAGAATGGCTTTGCATGGACATTGAAGAGAGTTGCTGCAATTGTTGATTTTAGATTCCTTCCTTAACCCTCTTCCTATTTGAGATGCTTCCTAGGAATATCAACCATAAACCCAGATTCCCCTCCTACCCACAACATGATGATAGTTCAAAACCTGAATCTCCAGCTCAGGGTCCAGCACCCTCACGGTATTTCTCTTGAGATTCTTCAGGTATCAGAAACCCACTTTCTCTGTGATGAATTTTCCCAAACTTGTCCCAATTTTACCTACTCCAGGGGCTTTCAAATGTATTTTAATATCAGAACTTTTTTTTTTGTTTTAAATGGACATTACATGGAAAGACATTACATAAAGCAGATACTTTTATTTCTATCTTGCAGTCCTCCTCCTCATGGGGTGGGTGGGAGAAGGGTTGTGCATCTCTGGGAATCTTTTTTTTTTTTTCTATTTAGAGTCCAGTTCTTGCTCTGTTGCCTAAGTTGGAATGGAGTGGCATGATTGTGGCTCACTGCAGCCTCAAACCCCTGGGCTCAAGTGATCCTCCCATTTCAGTCTCCTGAGTAGCTAGGACTACAGGAATGCACCACCATGTCCTGCTGATTTTTTGAAAAATTTTTGGTAGAGATGGGGTCTCACTATGTTGCCCAGGCTGGTTTCAAACTCCTAACCTCAAGAAATCCTATCTCAGCCTCCCAAATTCCTGGGATTACAGGCACCATACCTGGTTTCAATCTCTTGGAATCTTTAGGACATTGACAAACAGAGGTTATCCTGATGCCTTGGCCTGGAATCCCCCAAAGCAGATCCTAAGACAAATGCTTATCTGATACCACTCTATTAGGGAGTGTGGGCAGTCCCAGGGAAATAGGAGTGAGGAGAAAGGCGAGTCTTTCCAGTCTTCCAGGGCAGGGAAGGAGGGAGAGAAAATATGCAATCACACTAAGGAGCTAGTCAGCACTTGGCATCCCCCTCAATTGATTGCCTCATTTGCCAGACCCTCTTCTGAGTGTCCATATGAGCTGTTGCATCTTAGGACAATCCATCTCTGGGGAGAATATGAGAAAAGTGTATCTGCTGGCTCCTGAGCCCATTGGTCAAAACATCACCTTCCCATTATACGCAGGGTCTTGGTAGCATCTCACACTTCAGGGGCAGCAGATGAGCCTCAGAGCAGGAGGTTAGAAGTGCGCAGCATGAATAAGAGGTGAGGTAATGTTGAGGGTACCTGAGCAGGGACAGTCCCTGAGGTGGCCAGCCAAAATAATGTGAGGCCACAAAGATCTGAGGTGATACACAGAAGGAGTCTGATATAGTTGGTGAACACCCCTATTATACAGGTGAGAAAACTACAAGCCAGAGAGGGAAAGTGCCTTGTCCAGTCTTATACAGCTAGTTAGTGGTAGAATGCTGCACACTAGACTCTCAGGCTAGTGCTCCTTTATCCTGCTAAGCTCTCATTGCATGCATTTTTTTTACCTGTTTTTCTCTTGAAGACTCAAGAAAGCATCATCAAAGCCCTGACCTTTCTCAACTGAATATTCTAAGTGGCTTTGGTATCAGCTTTATCCAACACAGACTGTGTGCACATTTTAATTGGAGCATTTTTTGTTTGTTCGTTTGTTAACCAGGTTCCTTTAGAGTTAGGCAAAGGAAACTTCCACTTCCACAGTGAAGGGGAAGACTATTATTATCAGCCACATCTGCCAATATTAGGTAGAGGCTTTGTTCGTCTTTGCCACAATTGGGCAGCAGCCATCCTTATTTAATAAAATACTGAGGATAATTCTAAACTGAGAGTGATGTACCAAACTTAGACGAATGCTTTATAGTTTCATATTCTTTTTAATATTGAAAATTGCCATTTACAGTTCCCTTTCTTTTACAAAATCCTTTTCTGTGATTGACGTGGTATACATTAGGCATAACTATAATAATCATAGATTTTCTTCCAGAAAACAAAACCAAACTGGGGAATAGGTATTAACAATGCATAAAGAAGTCATACTTGTACTACAGAGAAAGGTGGGAATTAGTTACCTTGTTTTAGACCCTGGACCTTTCTAAGAATTGTTATTCTGTGAAATGATTTCCTGAGGCTGGCCACCTCCTAGGAGATGATACTGAAGTACAGAGGGCCCTTGAACAATACGGGTTTGAACTGTGTGGGTCCACTTATATGTGGATTTTCTTCTACTTCTGCCACCCCAGAGACAGAACTACCCCTCCTCTTCTTCCTCCTCCTGAGCCTACCCAAAGTGAAGATGACAAGGATGGGGATCTTTATAACGATCTACTTCCACTTAATGAATAGTGAATATACTTTCTCCTCCTTATGATTTTCTTTTTTAACTTTTGTGGGTGCATAGTATACGTATATTTTTATGGGGTACGTGAGATATTTTGATAGAGGCATGCAATGTGTAATAATCACTACTCTTTTAGCTTTTTTTTTTTTTTTTGAGACAGAGTCTCTCTCTGTTGCTCAGGCTGGAGTGCAGTGGCACGATCTCAGCTCACTGCAACCTCAGCCTCCCAGGTTCAAGCAATTCTCCTGTCTCAGCCTCCCAAGTAGCTGGGACTACAGGCGCCTGCCACCACACCTGGTTAATTTTTGTATTTTTAGTGGAGACAGGGTTTCACTGTATTGGTCAGGCTCGTCTTGAACTCCTGACCTCAGGTGATCCTCCCGCCTCGGCCTCCCAAAGTGCTGGGATTACAGGCGTGAGCCACCGTGCCTGGCCTCTTTCAGCTATTTTTAAATATAAAATTAAATTATTTTTTTACCACAGTCACACTGTTGTGCTAGCAAATACCAGGGCTTATTCATTCTTTCTATTTTTTTGTATCCATTAGCCATACCCACTTCCCTCTCCCACCCCCACTCCAACTACCCTTCCCAACCTCTGATAACTATCCTACCCTCTATCTCCATGAATTCAAATGTTTTAATTTTTAACTCCCACAGATAAATGAGAACATGCAATGTTTGTCTTTCTGTGCCTGGCTTATTTCACTTAACGTAGTGACCTCCAGTTCCATCCATGTTGTTGCAAATGACAGGATCTCATTTTTCTGTGGTGGAATAGTACTCCATTGTGTATATGTGCCACATTTTCTTTATCCATTCATCTGTTGACAGACACTTAGGCTGCTTCTAAACCTTGGTGATTGTGAATAGTGCTGCAGTGGGAATGCAGTTATATCTAAGATACACTGATTTCCTTTTTTTGGGGTATGTACCCAGCAGTTGGATTGCTGGCTCGTATGGTAGCTCTATTTTTAGTTTTTTGAGGAACCTCCAAACTGTTCTCCATAATGATTGTACTAATTTACATTCCCACCAACTGTGTATAAGCATTCCTTATGATGTTTTTAAGAACATTTTTTCCTCTAGCTTACTTTATTGTAAGGATATAGTATATAATACATATAAAATAAAACATATGTGTCAATCAACTGTTTATGTTATTGGTAAGGCTTCCAGTCAACAGTAGGCTATTAGTAGTATTCAACTAGAGATCATACCACTGACAGAATAGACTCCTTGTGGCAATAATATACCCAATTATAAACAAGACCTAAGGCCACTCTAGGCAAGGGTTAAGTCATGTACCCCCTACACTTAAAAAAAAACTATGTGCTGCCACAAAGTTTCTTCTCTTTCTCTATCAGCTAAACAAGCACTAGCCTCAAGACAAGCAATGTTGAAATAATTGCAGCTCACTGCCAGATGCTGACTGACATTCCCCCCACCATTCCACAAGCCATAATTACAGCTTTGATTGGATACAAGAGTGATTTCAGTCATTTCATCCTGCTAAAAGACCACTGACCATAGACTGGTTCTGGCTGGTTTACACAGGCTGTGCACTGAGTGCCTTCATGTCCTCTGCTTTACCTTTTGATGTATAGTGACGAATTGTAATGCATTTAAATGTTAGGGGTCCACCTGAAAGTGAACATGGGCTGACCGTAATAGACATGTTTCATTACTACACATGCATGTATCCCCTCTTCATGAGTATTCATAGCTCCTTCTATAACCTGTTGAACATGTATGCTTGGCCAACCTGTTCAGTTTAAATCCTTATTCCATCTTACCCTCCCTCAAAGTGTCTGCTTTTGGTCTTTGCTGGAGGCTACACTTCTCAGCCTGTCAGAATGGCCAGCCTGTGTCAGGATGGCCAGTGTAATTCACACTTTCTTGCAGAATTCAAGGACAATCCCACTAATTGACAGGCAGCAAGTAGCTGACATACTAGAGTGTTCTATAAAAACAAATGACACTGACTGACATGCAGGTATACACTCCTAATAAATTCACCAATCCTTGCTTTCCTTCTGGGTACACATACTTCCTGGCCACTAGATAGCTTTTATGAGGACTCAGGTTTGTTCAAATTCTTTTTCCAAAGAAATGGAACTTCCTAAAAGATTTTAGGTTGTTATATTCTTGAATTGGTTGAGCAAAATGTGTCTTCTGATCTTTGATAGTTGACTGAATGTGCTGGTGAAATAACTGAAATTCATTGTGCTTTCACTAAAGACTCGTGAGTGTGTCTGTGTGTTATTTATATTAAAAGTATTTAAAAACGCATTTGTATTTAATCTACCCAGTAATAATTTTTATTGTTTTCCCATGAAAATTACACAAGCAAGACTAACCATAAGAAATGCCATTACTAGTAAAATTTCTGATGCATAGACAGAGGCTGCCTTGGATGTGTGCTAAGGCTCATAGAATACAGACGATACAGTAATTTTAAGATGATGGTCTTCATAGAGCCAGAAACAATTTATTTTCAATTTTTGAAGTGAAAATTATTTCATCACTTAGAAACACATTTTTAAATGTCCCTTGAGGTTTTTTAGTTCCTGTAAACAACAACAACAACCATGTGTTGCTCATTTGAATTATAGCAGTGTATTTCTTATCTGGCATTGGGAGAGTGAGGGATTGGAGATAGTGATCCAATTCCACATTTACTGAGTGCTGATGGAGTTGGTATGAGACTGCTTTCCATATGTGTGCAACCCACATCCATGCTGAGAAAAGCTGGGGCCATGAACATGCTGACTTAGGGATAGGGAGGTGAGGCAGGACAGGAAGAGAACAAATAGACTAAGTTTAAAAGTTAGAACTGTGAATCTTTGTTCAGCGGGTTATAACCATCAGGGTGTAAATATATAACACTGTTCTAAGCATGTAGTAAGCACTCGATAATTAAGTGACTAGGACAAATATTAGATTAATTGTCTTCTAGGCTTCTGGATGTCAGGGACCATACTAGCTTGGCATGATCGTTGTTTGGGAATCTAAAACAATAATGTATACTCAATGATTTGGGAATTGAAGGATGAAGTTCATAGATCACTCTGAGGCTGTTTAGCTCAATTAGGTACCAACAAGACACAGGCAGTAAGTTTTATGTCCATAAAGATATGGGCTATTCATCAAACCATGGATTACTTTTATAAGCATGAGCCACTGTTGGTGATAAAGAAAAACTCAAGCAACAGGATAAGGGGGAAAACTCAGAATATATTCTAATAACAGGATATTGTTTGTATGAGAGGAACAGGACATTTTAGCAGGTCAGGTGATGAATTAAAACAACTTGGAGAAATGAACAAAAGAATCATTGGACTCTTTGGACTCTCAGGGAGAAATGACAAAAGAGTCAGACCTCAGTTAAATTCAAGTTTCTACACAGAGCACATGAAGGGAGGAAGTAGGGTACTGAATCTCAAATGTTTTTTGATCATGGGTCATAATTTAAAAACCATTTAATGGTGTGACCTATGGCATATATACATACAAACATATATATCTGAAATTGTAATGTCATAAGTGATACTCTTATCATTTACAATGAACTCTGTTATTTTCTATTCTATTCTATTCCATCATTTCAAGAATACCAGCACTATCTACCTAATTGATTTCACAGCCCATAATGGGTTATGATCTGTAGTTTGAAAAACACAGGGCTGGGTAAACACCAAGGGTAAGAAAATGTACTTAAAACTCTGGTGAGGACTTATCTATTATGGGTTGAAAGAAGAGACTGCTGGGATGGGCCAACCCAGTCAAGAAACTTCTGGGAAGTAAGCAGGCTGAGAGGTCTGCACTGCCTGTGGGAGTCAGGTGAGAGTCAAGATCTGCCCCAGGTGACCACTGGATACTGGTCACCTGGGTTAACTTGCTTTGAAGACATGCCAGAATTTCTACCCAAACCTATAAGACATTGAGCATTTTGAGGGCTACAGAGGAAGAGGGGGGGATTGGTATCTGGTATCACCGAGTGATGCTAGTTACAAAGGATCCTGGACAATGCTACCTTGATGCATGGTTACAATCTTTGCAGATCTTACAGAGGAAGTAATTTACACAGTAGGGACTCAACTCTTCCCTGCTCAAAATGTTGAAAGAGCGTCTCATGATACTTAGGATAAAGGTCAAAATACTTGTGATGGGCTACAAACCCCTTGCACGGCTTGTGCCCTGCCTCTCTCTCCACCTGCTCTCCCCACCATCTATCCTACCCTGTAGCCTGTGAGACACTTTCAAACTTTCCAAACTTTTCCTTAGTGTCCCTCATACTGTTCCCTCTACTTGAGCCACTCTTCCTCTGTTCTTCAACCAATTTAATTTTTACTCCCACATGAAACCTTTCCTGATTCCCCAGATGAGAGTAGGTCCCCTTGTTAGACCCTTCACAGAGGAAAATCACTTATTTGTGTAAGCATGTATTTAATATCTCTCTCTCTTATTAGACTATGAGCTCTGTGAAAGCAGGGACTATGTCTGACAAAAGATAAAAACATCTACTTTAAATATCTTATCAGGAAACTGCATTTCATTTTCTTTGATAATATTTAGAATATCTTCTGAATCTATGCTTATATCACCTTTTTATTGATAATATTAATTTTTTCTTTCTCTTTTCCTTAACCAGGCTTCTGAGGAGTTTACCTATTTCATTGTTCTTTTTAAACACCAGATTTTGGGTTTATTTATTCTTTTTACTATTTTTAGCAACACCACTACATTCTCCTATTAGTTCTAATAGTTCTTCTAAAAGAACTAGAGTCTGAAGGTTTTTAGTTGTGCAATTACAGCATTTACAATGAAACAATTTCTTTCTTCCTTTTCCATATTTGTATCTACTATTTCATTTTCATGTCTTACTGCTTTATTTTAGTCTCTAAAACAATATTAATAATAGTGGTGATAGGAGGCATCTCTGTTGTATTCCTGAATTTGGTGGCTTTAGTACAGCTCCACTTTGTGTGCTGTTTGCTGTGTTGTTTTTAGTAGTTAGCATTTATTGTTCCTTGAAGGACCAGTAAGGTTGGATGAAATCCAGAAGCGTCCTGGGAGTCACACGAAAAAATAACTATTTCAGGAGAAAGGAGTGATTGACTACATCAAATGATGGATAGGTCAAGTAAGATAAAGCCTGAGAACTGATCATTAGATTTAAAAACATAGAGGTCTGTGATGACCTTGACCAGAGCATGGAGTGATGATTGGAATGGGTTAGACAGAGGATGCGGGGAGAGGAGGTAGAGACCGGGAGAGGAGGCAAGTTCTGTTTTGCCAGGAGATGTTGTAAAGGGGAGAAGAGAGTTGAGGCAGCAGCTGGAGGAGAATGGGGTCAAAAGAGTATTTTTGTTTTGTTTTGTTTTTTAAAGATGGGAGACATTAAACTATATTTGAAAGTTACTGCTTAGGACCCAGCATTAAGGTAAAACTGGTGATCAAACAGAGAGAGGCATGTTATAGAGAGATGTGCTTACAAAAGTGAGAGGAGCGAGATCTTGTACACAAGTGGAGGGTGACTTTTTTTTTTTTTTCTTGAGACAGAATCTTGCTCTGTTGCCCAGGCTGGAGTACAGTGGTGGGATCTCAGCTCACTGCAACCTCCGCCTCCCAGGCTCAAACGATTCTCCTGCCTCAGCCTCCTGAGTAACTGGGACTATAGATGTGCGCCACCACGCCTGGCTAATTTTTTATATTTTAGTAGAGACATGTTGCCCATGTCGCCTAGGCTGGTCTTGAACTGCTGAGCTCAGGCAATCTGCCCACCTCGGCCTCCCAAAGTGCTAGGATTACAGGTGTGAGCCACTGGGCCCAGGCAGAAAGAGGCCTCATGCAGTATTCAGCCCTCTTGCCCTTCTGCCTTATGCCATATGAGGACACAGCATTCCTCCCCTCCAGAGGATGCAGCCATGAAGCGCCATCTTGGAAGCAGATACCTGACCCTCACCAGAGACCAATCCTGCCATTGCCTTGATCTTGGATTCCCAGCCTCCAGAACTGAGGGAAATACATTTCCGTTCATTATAAATTACCCAGTCTTAGGTATTCTGTTATAACAGCACAAACATATTAAGACAAGGAGGGAAGGCAGACTATGAGAGACAGGGACAGATGCTGGTAAGTGGGCCACTGTAGTCGCCTATTGTTTCTTTTTCTCCACAGACGTATAGCTTTCCTAGGTGATTCTCATAAGCGTGCAAGTGTGGAATCACTCGTCTATAGCTAGAACCAAGCAACTTACACAGCTTATCACTTCCTTCAATCAAGTTGATCCTACATCTTGGATCTCATCTCTCTTGTGATGAGGAAAGCCGTTTCCAGAAGAAAGAATGAAGAAAGTGTGATTTCAAATTCCTAGGCCCTAGATCCCACTCTATGAGAACAGCCCAGGCTGGTCTCAACTTCATAGCTGGACAGGCTGGACCTATGAGAAAAGAGAGGGAGGAAAGGAAAGGGAGAGGGAGAGGGAGAGGGAGGGAGGAACAGAAAGAGAGAGAAAGAGGTAGATAAATAGAGACAAGGAGAAAAAACGTCAGTCCTCTCCCAAGAAAGAAGCAACCCAAGAGGAAGAAGGGCACCTGGCTGCTCAGGGTATCCCCTCATCTAGAAGCCATGGTATAGTGGGTTCCTCAAACATGGCCAGTGCTTACCCCCGGAAGAGAGGCCACATGCAAAGTCATTGGCCCCGATGCCAACTCCTCCTGGGAACAGAAAGGGTGGGGTCAGGAATCTGTTTAATCACCTAAGTTGCTTCCCTCCTCTACCTAGATCTGAGTCAAAAACAGGTGCCATGGGAGACAAATTTAGCCAGCACAATATTTTTGAAAAGTATACCGAAATACCCTAAGCAAGGCAGACAGGGCACTTTTTTGCTCTGTGCAGCACCCCTTGCCCCCATATCCTCCAGGGCTACTGTAGATGTGGGCACCCCTGGCCTAGCTACCGAGTTACAGCTTCTGGTGTCTAGTCACAGGCAGTAAGGAAATGCTGGCTCATTTTTTTTTCCTCCCAGAAAAAAAGTCTTCAAACAGAATGACCTGGTGAACTTCCCAACTCCAGAATTCTGTGCAGTTATTTTCTAGTGACTGACACCGACTTCAGCCAGCTGTTTCTTTAGAAGTCTTCCCTATGGAGTAAAAATAAGAAATAACTTGTTTCCTGATAGCAGCAAGGAGAACAGAACACCACTTTACCTGACAGTGGAGAGCCCCAGACAGATACTCGCTTCCTGTTCATTCCCCTGCCATCGTACGGTAATGGGCACTGATATTAAACATGCATATTTCACAGTCTCTTGTCCCGCGATTTGGAGGATGGCCATTCACTATGTATGAACCACTCACTCATGCTCATCACACAGAGAAAATTACATTTTCCCAGTTGCCAAATGGAAGAGATAAATTATCTCACGTGGACAAGCACATTGCTCTCAAGAGCAGCTTCCAGACCTAAGATAAACAGATTAAAAAAAAAAAACAAAAACACGCTGGAGGGGGACTCTGAGCTTTCCAGGTGTTGATGGGGGTCAGTCTCTTCATTCGGACTCGCCAGATCCTCACTTTGCAGTTAGTGGGCTTAAAGTGGCGGGACATTTGCCCTTCTGTTTCTTTTGGATTAAATGAGCAGCCTTGGGGCCTCTTATTCTTCCTTCATAGAAGAGATGTTATAAAAATGAATAAATCAACACAAAACATTTCATATTTATGCCTACTTGCTGAATTGATACTACTTGTAATGAAAATCAAGGAAGCAAAATGTTAAAATGTTCTCTTTGGGGAAGACACATTGGAATGTCTTACCACAGATATACACACACTCGCTTGTTACACACTCCTTCCTTATCCCTAACTATTCTCTGAGGTTAATGAAGGTCCTGATAACTGCAGTCTCTAACTTAGCATATCATCCTAAACCTACTACCTGCACACATAGGAGTCGCAGCGCAACTATGTACTAATGGCAGCCAACACTCATTACCCTTCATACCACCATCACTGTGCAAACCCTTAGTGCATTTTCCAATATGATCCCACAATCCTTCATTTTTATGTTTTGCCCACGCTAAAATTCGACAGCGAATTCTTGCAACAATTATTAAGCGTCTGGAATTGTATTAGGGTCTGGGGGTAGAGGTGGGGGACGAAGCGGGAATAACTGCAGTACACAGCAGACCCTATGAAAGTGCCAAAACGCAGGTCTCACTCGGAAGGCTTTGGGAGTTGGGAGAGGAGAAGGCTCATGGGCAGCTAAAGCCACCAGTGACCTCATTATGCAATATTTAGGTTATCAGACTTTTCTATGCCTAGAAAAGCAGCGCCTCAACCATTCCAACGGGACGCACCGCGTTCAGTGACGACCCTCATCGGTGCCCACAGCTCTGGGCTCGCTGAAGGCACCACAGAAGCACCAGTTATTACCAGTGTTAGGGTCCAGTGGCTTCTTCTGTCCCTTTCCTCTGGATCCCAAAGTGTTGGTTCTCTTTTGTTAGTTTTATTCCGGTCATGCCAATGAGCACAGATTCACAGCCCAGGCGGCCCGCTCGGAATCCCAGGCCGGCTGGGGACCGGTGCACTTGGGCTCCGCGCCCCCTCGACCCTCGGCCCAGTGCCCCTTCCCGCGCGCGCGGGTCTCCCCGGTTCCAGAGCCCACCGGTCCCCGCCGGCTCCTTCTCCCCACCCACCCTCCCACCGGGCCCCCGGCGGCTGCAGCCGCGCGGGGCTGGCGGGGCGGCGACCGGGCTCAGGCAGATCCCCGCTTCCCGCCTTCTCGGCGCCCCCTCCCTCCCGGACGGAGCCCGAGGATCCCCCACCCACGGCGGGCGTGAGGAAGGGCTTCTGAGTGACTGGAGCTCTACCGCGTGTGCCCCGGGAAGGCCAGGCTACCCGGGACGGGGCTCGGCTCCCCAGGTGAGCTCGTCTCCGCGGGACTGGGTCCGGGAAGGCCCCAGGACCGCGCGGCTGAGCGGCCTGGAGGCTGCGGGAGGGCAGAGCAGGGCGCGCGGGAGACTGCCGCCCCCGGGCGCCCAGGGCCCGGCTCCCCAGCGCCACCGCCGCAGCAGGTGGGGGCCCAGTGGGCGGGGGCGGGGCCCGGCTCTGGGCGGAGCCGAGGCGGCGGCGGCGCAGGCTGGGGCCGGGGCCGGGGCGGGAGCCGGAGCCCGAGCTGGAGCAGCGAGCCGGGCTGTCGGGGCGACCGCGGGAGCTCGCCGTGCGCCGTGGCTGGGACCGGCCTGGCCGAGCGCGCCGGCGCCGCGGCCGCAGACAAAGGGCGGCTCGCGCCCGGGCCGCCACGCTCTCGGGCTCTGCCTCGGTAAGTGGCTCCCCTCCGCTGGCTTTCTCCTCCCGCCGCCTGCGCCTCTCGGAGTTCGGCGGGCTCCGGAGAAGCGGGGAAGAGATGAGACTTCCCCGCCCGCACTGCCTCCCCACCTTACCCTAACAATAAGCCCCCCAGGCCAAGCCACTGCCAAACTAGCGAGTTTCCGAGCGGCGGGGGTCTCCCGCGGGACCCGCCCGGCTGCCCTGGGTGAGCTCCTCGCCTGCAGACCGCGCGCCGGTGCTGTCCTGGACCCGTTTGGGATGGGAGGTTGCCGCTGGGCTCCTCGCGTTGTGTTTAGGGGAGGAGGACGCAGGGGCCGGGCGCCGCTAGGGGACCCCACCCCCGGGGACAGTCCGGAGCGCTTGGGGTCGCCGAGGGGCAGTTCACACTGCGAGTTCAGATTCGGATCGCAGTCCCGATTATCCTCCCCTCCAGCCTCTCCCTTTCTCGTTGAAGGGTTAATACAGCGTCCTCTCCCCTCGCCACCCGACAGAGGCGCCTACACTGGCGGTAGGTAGCCCCTGGGAGAGGGGGAGTGGGGGGACCCCGCCGCTTTCGCCGCTGGGCGACCCAGAGCCCCAGCCTGCCGGAGAGGGCAGCGGCTCGGGTTTGACATCCCAGCTGGGTCCCGGGCCGGCTCCCTGAGCCTCCTCCCGGGTTGCTCTCTATCAGGAAAGCAATCGGAAGTCAGGCCGGCTTTTGCTTTTGTTCTGCCAGCTACTCTACGGAATCGTAGGTGAAGCCGGGGTGGGCGGATGCCCCGGGAGGGGGCTGTGGCGGGAGTTCCAGGTGCGTCCCCGAAATGACCATTGGAGGCGGCGGCTGTTTCCCGCCCCTGGGTGGGGAATGGATTCCGATCGCTAATCGATACCCTGGAGCCAGCAGTGGGTCAGCAGCGTCCCGACAGAGCGCAGCGGCCGCGTACTGTCACGCGCCTCTCCAGCACTCTCGAAAGCACTACCTCGAGACGTGCATTTCCATTCATGGATCTGTGCCTGGGGGTTGATTAATGTCACCCCTGCCTGGGTTGAGGAGTGTCCACAACTGCTCAGTAGCCATTTACTGGGAGGTTACTGTGTGCAAGGCAGCTATCTTAAATAACCTTAATGTAAAATATACTTATTGAGCACCTACTATGTGAAAAGCAGGTATACTGCAGACTTTTCAATTGAATGGATATGTATTGAGCACCTACCCCGTGCGAAGGTGAAGCGTCATGACGTTCTCAATGTAACAGATATTTATTGAGTACCTACTATGTTCAAGATAGCTATGCTATGACCTTATTGTAATATGTATTTACTGAGCACCTACTAAATACTAAAGGCTTTTTTGCTGAAGGGTTGCCCAGTGTACTTTTGGGGTACGGATAGAAACAAGGGAGAGAAAATATAATATCTTCTGAACCTCGAGTCTTCAACTCCTTTAGTGACCTGCGTTTTAACCTTTCCAAACCGCTTGTGTGGTGTATGAAGGGCTAGTCTTCTACACTTGAGGGTACACTTCTATGCTTGAGGGTTTGTCAGACAGGAGCAGGGCTGAATAGTAAAAAGGCTTGCTCTGGAACCTCTTTCCAATTCAGTTTCCTTGCATTAGAAAAGTCAGCCTCTTTGCATAAAGCACCATGGAGTTATCACAGGGAATCAAAGGGCAATAAGGCAAAGCCCTAATGCTCAAAGGGACAGAGAATCCATGCTGGAGACAGACAAAAAGACACCTCCCTTTTAATGCTACTGTCATACCGTGCTTAAACAGCTATTGTGGGAATACTCAGTGCTTTAAACTAAATAACAAAGCAACCTTGGATCATCTGATCCAGAAGTTCTAGACAACTGACCTAACTCCTAGAATTCTGCTTTTGAGCAGTGAGGGATTAATTGTAATTTTTCTTCATGTCAGAAATTAATTGCATGTATTTTTCAATTACTAAAAAAAAGCAAACAAATAGAAATTAGTGATTTGTATTAATCCAGAACCTAATCTGCTTTAACTCAATTACTCCAGATGCGTGAATCTCCTGTTGGGTTGGTTGCAAGTTGACTCAAATTCGTTGTTTCACTTTTGCTGCAGGTTAAAAGTCTGCCTCTTACAAACCCTGGCTATATCACCCTCTTGTTTCTAACTAAACAAGATTTTCTCAAATAAACTTCATTCTGCATTTTGGCCAATAAAAAAAAAAAAAAAAAAGACACCTCCTAAACAAGGAAGGAACCAATAGGGGAAGGGAGAGGGAAGCATGAAGACAGGGCCAGCTGAACCTTCCAGCCCCTCACTCCAAACTGATACCAGTGATGTTGGGGTGAGAGAGTCTAAGTCCCATCATTGCCCATGGCTGGGGCCCTAGGACTGGAATTAAATAGTTTTCCTGCTAAGAGATTTGATGAATCTGTTACTCTGATAATCTTAGGATCTTGAGATGCACTGGAATATCCAGATTGGCGAGAAAATCATATCCATTAGCAAATATTTGAGTATTTACAATGCAATATAGGCATTTATCAGGGAAATGTAGTCTAAGACGTAGTCTTTGTCTTAAAGAACTCTGGTTCATGAGATAAACATGTAAAATGACAACTTGGGCAGCATATATGAAAAGCCAGGAGCAAATTCCTCCTGGAATTTGACATAAAAAATATTCTCACCACATGGAACTGTGGTTTTTCTCTTATCAGACATTGAGAACTCTCTACGTGCCTTGTATGTTTATCTTTTTGCCTTGGCCTCTAGAAATTCCTGGTAATGGCTTTATCCCAGCTTCTTGGTACAATGATTTTTTTCTCCCTAAATTATTTCTGAGACCTCTCTTTTAAATTCTTTATAAAAAACTATATTACAGGATTTTTGTTGTGAACTTGAAAGCCTCTCTGAAATCTTTTCTGTAAGTAAGCCCGTTATGAAAGATACATAGAAAATATGGTAAGTATTAGATGAATGTGCTCATAAGAAAAGGGGGAAAAACTATCCGGAATTTACAGAGAAAACAAACGGGCTTTGCAAGATGAAATAGGATTCAGATGGGCAAAGACAACTAACAAAGACTTTCCTCCCAAATTGAGGGAAATAGCGTTGGCAAAGGTGTCAAGGAAAACAAACCGAATTTAGAGTACTTTAGGTATTTGATAGATCTTCCTCTGGAATAGTTTCCATTCACTCAACACACGAGTGCTGCTGGAACATTTTACTGTGTCAAGGACTAGGCTAGGTGTCAGGTGGGGGGCATCACCCAGAACCAATTGAGGTTCAGCATGATCCCACAGCTGTCAAGGACCTTTGTCTCCTGTCCTGGCTGTGGGGTAGCACTGCCCTGCATCTCAGCCATTCTTTCAAGCATTCCTGGAGTTTTTTCACCTGAGCTGAACTTGACTGTAATCTTCTTCAAGGCCAAGAATGTGACTTTTTTTTCTCTCTGCATCCCTCCCTCCTTGCAGGTTCAGGCAGAAAGAGTCGGTAGGGTAGGTGACACTTATTTCAGTGACCTCTATTGCCCATTTCGTCACTCCTTCCTGGCCTCATCAGGGCCTGCTATGCTCTCTTCCTCTCCATCATTTTCAGCTGTTGAGAGCCTTTCACTGTATGCAAACTGGTCTCAGGGGAAAACCAATCTGTCATCGGTCACTTTCTCTTAAATATGAATGTAGGTCACTGTGTTCTCTCTTCCAGGGGTCTTTGCACTTTAAGCCTCATAATGGAATGAAAGGCTGTGTTCACCATGAGACAATGTCAGGCACAGACAAGTGGGTGTTGGAGGTAATTGGGGAGGCAAAGTGACTTTCTTGGTGCTCCTGAAACCACCACCCCCTCACATAGCCAGTCTTGGCAAGGGTCCTTGCAGTCCCATGATTCTTGAAAGTCTGGAGGCTTCATTGCTGTTTATCATGGTGCAGTGGTTGAAGTCAGGTAGTGGCTCTCTGTGAGCCACCTGTCAGCTTGGCCCTCATACATTCCACTCCAAAGTTTAAAGCTTTATCGTTTGCAGGGAGAATCCTTGCTTCCTTACCTATATGTGCCCATTATTTTAAGGCAGCTATTCTCAACCTGGGCACTATTGATGTTATGGGCCAGATAATTTTTTGTTATGGGGAGCTGTCCTGTGCATTACAGGGTGCTTAACAGCATCCCTGGCCTCTACCCCCTAGATGCCAGGAGCACTAAACACCAGCCTGCTCCCCAAGTTGTGACAACCCAAAATGTCTCCAGCCATTGCCAAGTATCCCCTGGGAAACAAAATCACTGCTGCTTGACAACCACTGTTCTAAGGGTTATTGGTTATTATGTATCATGCCATATAAGAGAGGCCTTATCTAATGTAATTCAATTCTTTTCAATAAAGAGGAACTATTACATGTGTAATTAACATGGCAGAACTTTTCATATAAGTAATTTCATAAATTAGAATAAATATCCTTTTTTTCAGACCTGATATCCTAATCTGGTTATTATATTAAGTTCATCTTTTGAAGCATAAAGCCTCAAATTCTTCTTTTTCTAGTGTGGCTGATTTATATACCACAACTGTGGGTAGCAGAACCGCCATTACCCACAAGATCATCCCCGCCTGCTGCTTGGGCAGTGCCTGGTAACCACCAGTCGGGAAGGAAAATGGCAGAGGAGGATTCAGTTCTGGTGGACTTGATGCTTATGTAATTTGATGGACCCTCTTTAAGGAAACGACAAAACGATAAGGGGAGCACATTGCTAGGACCCCTCCCAGGCCTTGGAAGGGTCCTGTGAGGACAAGTGATGGGCTCTGAATTTAAGTTTCATTAGCTTCTTGGGAAAGCAGTCTTTGGGAAAGCAGTCTTTGGGAAAGGTTTTGAGGAATGACTGGACAGCTGTGTTTGCAAGAATAGGAAGCTAGTCCTACCTGTGACTGATAGGAGCTAAGAGAATGTTCTCAAAGTATTGACTTAAATTGAGAGCACAGATCAAAATGGAATTGTTAAACCTAGGGTGACCTATACTTCTGTTAACATCTGCCCTCAAAAGTAAGAACTTCTGTATCGTCAGCAGCCCCAGGTCCACATGAGCAGCATCATAGGTGAAATGAGGGGCAGGGATCGTTCCGGTTTAGCAGGAGGCTCTGTGTTCCACTAGTGGGTAGTAGTAACTTACTGCACCTTGTAAACGAGGTTGGTCAGTGCTGAAGTTACTGCCTCGGGAAATGAATGAAACTCTTTTTCAGGTCACTCTAATGGTATTTGAAGAGTTTATAACAGGAGTACGTTGATTCAAACTTTTCTTTTGGAATACCTGAGCCTGGGATGAGATGTCCTTGCATTAAAACAGGCCAGGCAGGAAACACTTGCCCCCTCATTTTGGGGAGCAAGTAATTTAAGTACAGTTGTGTGCTACATAATGACATTTCAGTCAATGAAGGGCTGCATGTGGGACTGTGAAACTGTAAGATTATAATACTGTATTTTTCCTGTACCTTTTCCATGTTTAGACATATTTAGGTGTACAGATACTGACCACTGTGATACAGTTGCCTACAGTGTTCAGTACAGTAAGCATGCTGTACAGAGTTGTAGTCTAGGAGCAATAGGCCATACCATATAGCCTAGGTATGTAGGCTATTCCATCTAGGTTTGTGTAAGTATGCTCTATGATGTTCCCATAACCAGGAAATTGACTAATGATGCATTTCTTAGATGGATCCCCATCATTAAGTGATGTATGACTGTATGACTTTAAGAACTTAAAATAATAAGGCTTTAAAAATGAAACTATAATTCAGACTTCTCATTAATTAATCTTTTTCCTTAGTTTAGATCACCTTAGCTTCAGTGAGGAAGACAGTGTTCTAATTGTTGCTTTAGTGTAGAAATGTTAAATATAAATGCCTGGCCCTGCACAAGACTGATCTGGCAATGTATCAATGTCTAGATTTAACAAAAATTAAAAATAAGAAATAAGAAACACTCTACATGAAGATTTGCTGTAGGAGGGATTTCTTTTAAAGCATTGCTAGTCTTTCATTTGTATTTAAACAGGTCTGATTTGTATAAATTTTTCGAGTTGAGACCTGTTTGGAGATCTTAGGTCAAATGTGCACACAGTCACAGAAATTAGACCTGAAAGAGATTTTAGGGGTTTCTGGCCAGCCTTGCTTGCCCATTGAATAATTGGAGAAACTGAGGCTGAGAGTGGTTAGATGGCTTGCCAAGGTCACACAGAGATCAGCTGGGAGGCTGGCGCAAGGAGCCAGGAGCTCACCCCATCCCCTTGACACTCAGTGCTGCTGGGATACCGTTCTTCTGTCTTCCTGGTTGTAGAGTGTGTTGGTGTAGGGAGACCAGGCAGGAAAAGGGTTTGATAACTTGTCTCATTTCCAGGGCACCTGATCCTCAAAGAACTACTCATTAATTCGAACTGATTACATCTATGCCAAAGGTGTGTGTAAACACAGGCAGTACTGAAACTATCACAGAAAAATTGAGACGGTTCAATTGGTGGAATGAGACTATTTTATAAAAACTTCCTTTATTGCTTTTTTTGTATCATCTTTACAGTAAATAACTAGAATAAAAACATTTATTTGTCTATTTAAAAAAGTAATATATATTCATTATGGAAAGTGGCAAGAAGAATAAACAAATCCTACCGGTGATCCTGTGATACTTTAATCCCATTCGTATTTTGCTGTGTATTTTTAGTGTGTTTTTCAGCCCATTTTCAAGCTCATTTGAACAATTGAGACCATATTGTACATATAATTTTAATTTTTCTTGCTTTTTTATTAGAATAAACAATGTATGTGTTATTGTGAACATAATTTTTGTGAACATAAATTCTTTGTGAACATAATTTTTTTTTGTCTTTCCACAATGTCAGAGTTTTATTGATGCTTTTTTTTTTTACTTTAAGTTCTGGGATACATGTGCAGAACATGCAGGTTTGTTACATAGGTATACACGTGCCATGGTGGTTTGCTGCACCCATCAACCTGTCATCTACATTAGGTATTTCTTCTAATGCTATCCCTCCCCTAACCCCCACTCCCTGACAGGCCCTGGTGTGTGATGTTCCCCTCCCTGTGTCCTTGTGTTCTCATTGTTGTGAACATAATTTTTCATGTCTGCATAATTCAATCCTTAGAAGCTCGTTAATTTACCACAACATTTTGCTATTAGTGAACATTAAGTTTGCTCCTAATTTCTCCCTGCTGTGTCATTGCATGAGCAACTTTGTGTCTGTGCTTTTTCTACAATTTGGATTGTTTTCTTGGTATACATTCCAAAGAGTGAAATTACTGAGCCAAGGATGTGTATGCATTGTGTTCAATGGCTTTACCAAAATGGTGTACCAGTTTACCTTATATTGATAGCATACTATAAATGATGAAATTTCACCACACCATTGATAACATACTTGTTTTGTAATTACTTATGTGACAAAGTAAAGGTGTCTTTATTGCTTTCATTTACATTTTGCTTACCAACACAGCTAAACATTTTTCTATAGAATTTTTTATAGGACTTTGTGTGTGTGTGTGTGTGTGTGTGGGTGGGTGTGGTGTTTGTTGTTGTTGTTGTTGTTGTTTTGGTGAATTATCTATTTGAGTGTAGTGTTTTTTTAAAAAAAAAAAATGACCTGTCATTTGTCAAAAGGAAAAACAATAACCTCTGATCTCATAGGTATAGTGGCCATTTTATAAAGAATTCCGGCTGGGCGCAGTGGCTCACGCCTGTAATCCCAGCACTTTGGGAGGCCGAGGCAGGCTGATCATGAGGTCAGGCGATCGAGACCATCCTGGCTAACACGGTGAAACCCCGTCTCTACTAAAAATACAAAAAATTAGCGGGGCGTGGTGGCGGATGCCTGTAGTCCCAGCTACTCGGGAGGCTGAGGCAGGAGAATGGCATGAACCCAGGAGGTGGAGCTTGCAGTGAGCCGAGATCGGGCCACTGCACTCCAGCCTGGGTGACAGAGCCAGACGCTGTCCCAAAAAAAAAAAAAAAGAAAAAAGAAAAAAAGAATTCCATACAACCCTCATGTTCCATGATTCCAACATCTTCAGTTCCATGTTTCAGGCTAAACATTTTGTTGATAGTCATAGAGCTGCTTGTTAGTTCCTGAAGCAAGCTTAGATGGAGAGATAGAGTGCTTTATCCTCTTAGTGGAAGCCAAATTACATCGAGCATTTGCTAAGTGCTTCTCAGGCCTTAATTCTTATTCTTACAACAGTCTCTGAAGTGGGTACTGTCACGTCTCTCCATTTATACATGAGGAGAGTGTTGCCTAGAAAAGTAAAATAACGTAACCACAGTCACATACACTTTTAATAACTGCTAACTACCTCTGGATCTTTGCTAACATGGCCTGCCTCAGTTATGTACTTGGTCTTGGAGGGAGTTAGGGTTAGGAATATTAGAAACTTCATCTGAACTCTACTGCCTATTTCTGGGAGACTTTGTGGTGCAAGTTAATTTTACTATCTTAAATTTCCTCACTCTATCTTCTGTATCTCTTACCCTCCCCTGTGTTTGCCATCCTTTTCTTTTAATCTCTCCAAGATACATTCTGAATAGTTTCTTCTGACCTGTCTTCCAAGTCACAGTGTATCTCTTCAGCTGTATCTAATCTGTGGTTAAATCCATCATTTATTGCATTCTCAATCTTGATTACTGAATTTCCAGTCTAGAATTCTAGTTATTTTTCAAATCTGCAATGTTACTTTTTATGGGTCTTGGTTCTTTATTGTAATTTTTATGTTGAGCTTTTAGCTGCATGAGCATAGTAAGCATAATTGTTTTACATTCTGTATCTGGTAATTTTTCTATCTGGAATTCCTAAGCATCTTTTTGTCCTGTCTTTTGTTTGTTCTGGTTCTCATGCTGGTTCATATTTATGTTGTCATGTCTCCTTGTGTGCCTCATTATCTTTAAATGTGTGCTGGATATTGTTTTGAAAAAATATATGTAAGAATACCATGTGTCATTCATTTTAAGATGTACAGTGTTTTTATATTTTAGTCTCTGAAATCAGTATGTGTTTTATGTCATGAATTTTTACACTTCTAGTTGACAGCATTTTTTCTTTTTCACTGGTACATAAAATCATAGTGCTTCATATAATTAGTGATATTTAAAACTTCAGGACATTTGATAATTTGAGACTTTGGATAATCATAATAAAGATGACAAGAGTTCAAAAGAGAATTTTAATTAACTTCTTAAGGTTTTCTGGGGTATCAGCAATAGTGGGTCAATTTTGGGGCTTCAGATTTTCTAGATCACCCAGATGACATGAAGCCAGACTAGTTTACTTTTTGTTCTGTCTTACTTCTAGGGTCTATCAGAGGGTGTCCAAGGGAGACAATACAGTCGTGGGTTCTTAGTTTCCATTTCTGGTTGGGCCAGTAAAGCCCCTTCCTCATCCTTGTTTTCCGCTTATCACTAAAGATAGAAACTAAAAACCATGGCTTCAGGCTGCTAAAAGCCTAAAACAAAACAGAACAACAATAACAACAAAATAAGGTGGGTTAGACAAGCTTGGAGCTCTTTGGGGTCCTACTCTAAATGTAAAGCGGTTTACCAGGCCTCAGGGAGGCCCTGGCCTCTTGATTCCATGAGGCCGTCAATACGCTGCTCAGCTTCCTAGCTTCCTATTTTGGATTGACAGGCCCAGCCCCTCCAACTGGGTAAAAGCAGCCCCTAGTACTGAGGCCTACATGTCTAGATCTCTTTCTTTTCTCACATCTTAAACCTGAAATTCCTCCCTATCTTGTTAGCTTTTTGGTGCTTTTAGGAAGGTTTGTTGTTTGTTTGTTGTTAACCTCATCCAGCTTTCTTTGTTGTGTTCACTGGGAAAGTTGGCTCAAATTACCCAGTTCACTGCTGGCAGGAGGTGGGACCCAGTCAGATCATCTTAGAGACTGACAGGAGAGAAACACAAGTGACCAGCTGCTCTTTGCCTGACTGTGACTAGAGAACTTTATCTGCTCCCAACACAACACCCTGGTTGCAGCTGGAAAGCAGAAGTTGGGATGGATATATTTCAACTAACTGGACATAGCCACATGTAGATATATTTCCCTGCATAGATGAAACTAATTCCTCAGGCTGTTCCTAATAAGGCAGGTGATGTGGCTGAGAAGGCAGTCACAGGAGTGCTACCTGGAGCCCCATCTCGAACCTGCTTCTTCTCACCTACACTGTCCTGCAAAAGATGGGAATGTAGGACCAAGGGAAGTGTTGAGGCAGGAAGATGTTTTCTCTTTCAGCAGCTTTTAAGAAGTAAAAACTGTAGGCTGTATTTTAGCTGGGTAAGTTTCCTTCCATTCAAACTGGACCCCAAAATGTTCATGTTTAAGGCAGAACTTCTCTTCCATGGCCCAGACAATTCCTTGCAGAGGCTGAACCATCAGATCCAGGCTCAGGAGTCAAGACAGCCTTTCCAGATGACTCTGCTTGATGCTAAGGTTTGGAGCTTTATGATAGTTTTTGGCTTTTAGAATGCTTTTCTGCATGCTCAACCACGTGTTCTTGGAATCAGCAGCCACATCTATTTTCCCCTTACTTTCCTCCAACTCTTCCCCCAACTTTCAAGAAGCCAGAGAAGTTTACAAAAAGCAAAGTGTATTTCCTGAGTTTGAAAAGGCTGGACAAAGGGAGCCTGAGTGGTGGGAACTTCTCATCCTCCACCTTACCAGAGCCTCCATTGGTTTTTGGGGTGTGGGAGTGGGGTGGTGGCGGCTTTTATTTTTATTTTTGAGTACCTTTTTCCCTGGAAATTTTAGAGCTGAGCTATCCTCTCAGAAAATCACTGTCTGCCCAGGGAACCATAGCCTCCTCCCTCACCCTTCAGGTGTGTAATCATTGGGTAAAGAGAAGGGAGGTGTGGGTGTGCCCCTCTAGAAAGGGCCCTGTCTTAGGGGGAGGTATCCCACTGACTTTCTGGAGACCACCGTATACCATGGAGCCTTTTATGTATTCCACAATAATTTACCCTGCGGATTTTTAATTTCACAGTACTTCACACATAGGAAGGACTATAGAAAAATTAGTCCACCATATTGCTAGAAATAGAAATCCTCCAATTCGATTTCAGTAACTGTCCATAAAAGAACAAATCTGTAACCCCACTCCCAGGTAATTCTAGATTGTGACCGAGCCTTTGGAAGAAATGAAAAATGAATTAATTAATTTTGAAGAGGCAAATTTTCTGTTCTCCTAGAAGATGTGCCCTTCCATGATTATTTTTGGAGGCAGAATGGCCAGAAAGCCCTACCAGCCATAAGAATTTATGAACCATGACATTTGAAAACTTTCAGCCTGAGATGAAGTAAATTAATTCCTCCAGCATGATTCACTTTAGGTACAAGCCCAAATTTCTTTTATCAGTAACTTGGGCTCTTAAGGTGATTTTTCTAAAGAGATATAGTTATTTGAGACCCATCAGGGCCATTTTCTGTATTTCTTTTGTCAAATTTTCCATTTATGTGGATTTGAGTTTTTTCCAGTTATTTCGAGACCATCTTGTCTGCTAATAAGAGATAATATGCTGCCTTTTCAATAACATATGTGAAAGCCACAGGGAGTTCAGACAAAGTTAGCTGAGCAAATTCCTGTACTTATCAGAGACCATGACATCACCTTCAGTATGCGGTGGGCTTTTTACCAAGTGTCCAGCACCTTTAAAGAACTCAGAATGGTAAAGTATTATAGCTCATTCAATAGAAAAAAGGAACAGAGAAGTTCAGAAATCTGAAATGATTTTATTTGTAAGAGGAGAATAAGGAAGATGATTACTGTAAATCACATAGGAAGAGGAGGTGAGAAATATGTAACAATGGTGTAACTATGGTGGATTGCTTTTAGCTTTCCAGATCAGAGGTGAGAAAATGAAAAATTTCTTATGAATTATTATGAAGTTTCAATACTTGCAGTGTAGGACTCGAAGAGGGCTTTAACGACCCAGCCATCTGCTGTGTAATAAAGCCAGTGAAATATGCTCCATCAAAATGACACAGAGAAGAACGTTAGGGTACACAGAGTAGGAGCGAGAGTTTTTTACACTATGAATGAGAATATATCTAGTAAGTAGTTCTGGGTATGTTGTGGCCTGAATAACTGTCCATTTTTTTATACTTTACTATTTTCTTGAGCTGAATGGAGACTAAGGACAAAAGAAAGAAGACTCAGGTCATTATGAAGTTTGTTGGGTCTCTGCATGATTCCAAAGTGATAATGCTCTCAGTTGAAGTACTTAGTTAAAAGCTCAAAGTCTTGTTTCCATATGTCTATACCTGCTGTCATTTTTCAAAAGTTATTCAGTGAATTTGTTAATACTGAAACCCCTCCTTTCTTATCAGCAGTCTTTCTTCTGAGATTCTCATAAGATTCTCAATCTTATGAAATGCATTTCTGAACTAGAGGCAGTAAAAAAAAGTCCGTTGTCTTTTCTTTCCAGTTTATTCAGAAGCAAATCTCCAGAATCAAAAATCTATCCACCATTTACCTGCTGAATTTTCTCCCTTCGTTAACCAACAAACAACAGTGTTTTGCTCTACAATTTGAGTTCAGGATTTGGCTTCTATATTAAGTAACCTTCTAGTTTTCTCTTCCACCTCTGCTATTGATAAGAAATAATAATCACATTATTATTTAATTATCACCACCAAAAGCAACGTCAGATTTCAGTAATCTAAAACTATATTGCCTTAAACTTAGATTATTTGAAATAAGATCTTTCCTCTCCAGTAATGGATACCTAGAAAAGCAGGTGTATAGCTGTCTATACAGGGGACACACTCAGGAGCATGTACAGTTATGATTATGGGGCAGTCATAAGCTTTTTTCCTAGAAGGACACACAAGACATTGTTAGCAGTGATAAAGTAAGAAGTGATTGAGGATTGACGTGAGGGAAGGGATTTGTTAGTTTATATTTTACTATTTGATGTTTTAAATAAGCATATTTAATAAGTAAATAAGGAGAGAATTAAGAAGGTGGAGAAAAAAGAAGTCACTGTTTATAAGATCCTGTTGTGAATTTAACCTCTAGACCAGGGGTCCCCAACCCCTGGGCCACAGAACAAGTATTGGTCTGTGACCTGTTAGGAACCAGGCCGCACAGCAGGAGGAGAGCAGTGGGCAAGCCAGCAAAGCTTCATCTCTATTTACAGCCGCTCCCCATGGCTTGCATGACTGCCTGAGTCTGCCTCCTGTCAGAACAGTGGCGGCATTAGATTCTCATAGGAGCACAAACCCTATTGTGAACTGCACATGTGGGGGATCTAAGTTACATGCTCCTTATGAGAATCTAATGTCTGATGATCTGTCACTGTCTCCCATCACCCCCAGATGGGACTGTCTAGTTACAGGAAAACAAGCTCAGGGCTCTCACTGATTCTACATCATGGTGAGTTGTATGCATCTCCCATACCCAGCCCTGTACACAGAAAAATTGTCTTCCATGAAATTGGTACCTGATGCCAAAAGGGTTGGGGACCACTGCTCTAGACTAATTTCTCATTAGAAATTCTGGTTTTTGTTAATCATCAGACCAAAATCTATAGGAACATATGGTCAATATAGGTCACATATATCCTCCATGGTTTTGTGTAACTTATATTCTGCAGCATTTTTTCAAGTCCTCTTATACCAATGTCTTCTTTGAGCCTCCTAGTGGTGCTGTCTGGTATTTTGAGCCAGTATTATATGATTTCCATTTTACAGAGGGGAAAACTGAAGCTACGGGAAGATGTGTGGCTTGTCTTAGATGATATAGTTACTACCTGCTTCCCTAGTATTCCAGGACTAGAAGCCACTTCTGATTCCACATCGGCGTTCTTTTATCCCTGGTAAAAAGAATTTTGCTCTTTATTCTAGACATTCTTTTTTTAAATACTCCAAGCTGCCTCCTCTCTGGTTTTGTGCCATTGCATCTATTTCATTCTGTCTTGAATCATAGTTAGATGATTGTTTTCCTCATTAATTTCAGCAATATAGGCTGTCTCTCTTTTTGTAGCCTTACTGTGTCTAGTACATTATGGCACATATATTCATTCCTTAGTCTTTTCTTTTATGGAATTGGATTTAAGGTATTTTCTCCCAAATAATTATACATTTCTAGGAAAACAAAAGGAATAAATGAAGCCCTTTCTACAAGACTAATGTCATTGTTCACAAGAGAATTAGAATCACATGTTGTTTGAGTTGGAAGAAAATCATCGAGAGTATTTATTCTCTTGTTTTACAAATGAGGAACCTGAAGATCAAATAACTTCTGAAGATCCCACAGGGAATTAGAGGTGACATGGTATACAGAGCCCAGTTCTCCTCACTTCTAGCCGAGCCCTCCTTTTGCTGCAACAGTTATTACAGAGATTGACCATCAAGTTTTAGATGAATGGTCAATGCTGGCAAAAATCAGGTCATGCTAAATTAAAACTACAAATGTGAAGAGAGTTTTAAAACTCTCAAAAAGAAAAGGCTGTACTGAGCTTATTTTTCCAAGTTTTAATGAATGATTTTGTAGCTCTACCTCCTTTTAAAGCAAACCTGCTATATAAACATCAGCATTTTCACAAAGGAATTC